>NT_187647.1:0-161218 GCF_000001405.40 Homo sapiens | reverse complement strand
AGCAGCAGGCACTTGCTCTATACCAGGTGAGGGTGTGGAGACATGACGTGGTGCAGGGACACCAGCACCCAGTCCTAGTTCTGGTCCCTCTCAGCCTTGTTAGGTCCTGGTTCCTAGGATTCCAGGGAACATCCCCACAGCCTCACAATAAGATCCTCCTTTCCTGTATATGCTAGCTTGGATGGGATCCTCTGTTCTGTAATCAGTATGGCAACAGAGCAGATGAAATATTTAATGGTCTTTCATGAGCACTAAATTTTGTTTTTTACAAACTAGGTTAGATTCTGTCAAATAATCGTCTAATGGTGTATTCGAGTGTATATTAAGGATCTGATTCATTCTATACCCACTAACCATAAACAAACAGATTAAGTTTTCTTTCTCAGAATCTAATCCTTCAGTTTCTTGGAAGCTGGACTAGTTTCAGAGCATCTACAAACATTTCTGGAATATTTAACTTACCCTGAAATAACATACGATAGACAGTAATTCCCTAAATTATTTTCCCCAATTGTTGCAAAATAAAGCAAATGCAGAGTTTCTAGGACTATAAAAGGAACTCAACTTCCCGGATCCTAGTAAAGAAACAGGAAACAGCTTGAAGCTCTCTGGTTTGTTTTATGGCTCATGAAAAAGCTTTAGCCCAACTTGGCAAAAGAAAGGCAGGGAAAGAGTTCACATGGCTCTGCACAAACCCAACCCAATTACTAATTTCATGTTAGCCACTCTTTATGTGGAATTAGAGGGCTCACAGATGCCCTGCCCTCCAAAACATGCCACAGGGAGGACACATTCCCATCAGCATCAGGGGTTCATGCTAACACAGAGAAAATGCGTATGACCGCAGGAGTCCATGCTTGGTTTAAATAGCCCTGCTGTTGACTCAGATATGTACAGGTAGGCAGGAACCACACACTGCACACATATACCACATGCCACCACACACCATACATCCCACAGACCAATGTGTGCACAAATACATGCACAACCATACATACACACCATACATACAACACACATACACCATACACACAACACACACCAATGTGTGCACAAATACACAGCCACATACCACATGCACATGCAAGCACACACAGTGGCGAATCACTGCCTCAAAAGCTCCTCATATGCTATTATCTGTCAGAATGTGAACCATAGATCTGACATTGCAAAAGAAATGTGTTTTATGCAACTTTATTAATACATTTATTTAATGTGACTCCATATTCAACAGAAACAATCCAAGATACTCTCTTATTTATAATAGAATACTTACTTCTTTTGTGCTTTCTTTATGGACATAGATCCATTTTTCATGATAAAAACCTAGAATAAAAATTACCTTTGTTTTTAAAATCTGGCAAATCATTTCAAAATGAAGATTTTAAAGGAATTTAAATAATTGGACATGTTAACAAAATTATCTGACTTACTATATTGACAAGAAATGCTTTTACTTGGTTGAATGCAAACAGAATTGCTTTGTTTCTTAAATCAGTTTAAGATATGAACAATGATTTCAGACAGTACCAAGTCCTAGTAACTTAGAAGAAAATTAGTATTATTAATGACTGAAGCCATATGAAGACATAAATGATTATAAAATGCAATTACATTACTACATTCCTATGTACCCTAATAAAAAGTTCTATTCTTCTGTTGCTGTGTATAGTACTCCATAGAAACAAATTTTTCAGATAAATCTTAAAAGTTTCAAGAATCACACTAACTGTATTCTCCATGTGACCCTATCTTCTTCATAAAGTAGTCCCCCCGTATTCACAGTTTCATCTTCTACAGTTTCAATTACCCACAGTCAGCTTTGGTTTGAAAACATTAAGTGGAAAATTCCAGAAATAAACCATTCATAAGCTTTAAATTGTGTGCCATTCTGGGTGGTGTCATGAAATCTCACACCGTCCGGCTCTGTCCTGCCTGGGATGCAAATCCTCCCTTTGTCAAGCGAGTCCTACACTACCCGCCCCTTGGTCACTCAGTAGCCGTCTTGGTTATCGGATCACCTGTTGAGATATCACAGTGCTTGTGTTTAAAGAACCCTTACTGTACTTCATAATAGCCCCAAAGTGCAAGAGCAGTGATGGTGGCCATCTTGCTATAACTGTTTCATTTTATTATTATTCTCGTTAATCTCTTACTGCACCTAATTTATAAATTAAACTTTATTATAAGTGTGTATATACAGAAAAAAAAACATAGTATCCATAAGGTTTGGTAGTATCCACAGTTTCAGGCATCCACTGGAGGTCTATCCCGAGGTAAGGGAGCCTACTATACATTAACAGGTGTCTTGGTAACTCACAGATATGCTGCATGATAGAACTCTATGCCCTCTCACAGATAGGTCCCACCTCCAGCCTTCCCCTGCTGCCATCTAACATCCTAAACTCCAGCTCTGAATGTCTGTCTCCTGCTGTGAATCTTCAATGACTTCGAAACTCAAGTCAGGACACCTCTCAGTTTGGCCTCACTGCTCAAGATTGAGCTGAATTCATGACCATAATTCAAGCATTCAGATTCATGGGCTGTTTTGTGGGTTTTGCTATCTCTTATTTTGTTTTTGCACATCTTACCCACTGAAACGTTGGGCTGCAAAAAGTTTGATCACTAAATATGTAGGCAATGCTGGATACTGGGCTGTTATTTACATATTTGTATCACCTTTTATTTCATAAGATAGCACTGTCAGAGTAATTTAGTATTTCAACATAATCAACAAGTAAAATAAAATTAATGAGAATGATCTTACTTTGAGTATTTGTGTCATTTCTAAAATGGTCCTTTTTCTTTTTTTGGATGCATATTCATGCTCTTCATTATTGAGTATTTCTCCATCTTCGCTATTTAAGATACTGAAATAAAGACATATTCTATTAAAATATTTTTTCAGGGAGATCTTCATTTGGCTTTTCTTTTGTAAAAGGATACAAATACTTCAAAGTGACAGACTGTGGGCTTGAAATCACAGGGGTAATGTCTAATACATTTTTGTTTCATTTTGAGAAATAAGATGTATCCTGGTTCTTTGAGAATATTGTACCAGAAAGTGCTGAACATGTTTTAGAATCTCTGAAGGGTCTTGATATGCTTATCCAAGGTAGTTTCAAACATCAAAATGGCTTATTAAAACAGAGATTTTTTAAAAAACAACTATTAAAACTCCAGAAAAAAGATGGTAAGAACATGATGATACCCAATACTGACCAATGACTTGATGTATCCCTTACCCCATGCTGAGTAACCACTCAACATTTCTGTTTACTCCCTATATGTTTTAAGGGTTTAACTGAAGTTAATTATTACTGCACTGAACATGTTTTTATTAAGCACCAACCACATACACTGTTAACACATTTAACTGGAACCAGGTGAAGTGACATGTATATTTTTACTATTTAAATACGTTTAATTAAAAGCTGTTCTTTGTGAAACAAGAAAATCAAATCATAAGGCAATAACTAAACAATGGGAACACCTTTTACTTTTTAAAAAAATGTCTTCCTTACAGAAAAAAAAAAACACCTGTAAATAGTAATCCACATCCTCAAAACTAAAGATGTGTAAAATTTTTATTTTCCACACACTGATAACAGATTTTCAGTGTAAAGTGAGGAAGGAAGCTCTGTGGAGACAAGCTGGTTGGTGGAGGCATGCGAGAGTGGTGCTCAAATCCAAGGAACTAAAATTGCTTATTTGCCGGTCATCGTTCTTTGACAAGAAAATTGTACACAAGCCCCTTTCCACTCACCACTATTCACTTTTAGTAAAAAACAGCTGACTTTGCCAAATGAGTCACTTTCTCACTGTCAGAACAGACTTAAACAGCAGTGCCAACAGTTGTAAATCATCAAGACAAGCAAAGCACATTTGAAAAACATACAAACAACTGAACTTTTTGTGGCAGACATTATAACAGCAATTTATGGAAATGTGTTGATGTTTGTATTTTATATTTAGTCTTACACCAGTTTGTTATCATTGATTGAAATACTGAATGTAGAAGCTTTAGAATCTAAAAGGGCTTTTCTAACGAAAATTACAAACATATCAAAGGAAAAGCACAAATACGATGTTCTCCAGAAATAGTGTCGCAGAAATAAAGACAGAATATGGAAGGAGACAGGATTGCTGACTAATCTCATATGTACAGGGAGAACGACACTCCATGCAGCTTAGCTCCAACATATGAGCGTGGGACAGAAAAGCAAGGTGAACCTAAAGACATCCCATGGACACACTGAGCTGGAACCAACTCTGCCCATAGGTGGTGGGGCCAGGTTCAGATGCTTGCAGTAACCGCATCCTCCTGTGAATCTGGGTCTACATGGCTGTGGCTCCCTGGGGGCTACCCACACTGTGGATTCCACAGGTGATGGTGACCTTCTTGGGCACTGCTGGGACACTTCCTGGGCCTGCCTGGGCAGTGGTAGGGCTCAGAGAACTTCAGCGTTAGGGCCTTGGGGAGTCTATGTCAGACTTGAGGACCAAGCCTGGGCTCACAAATGACAACTAGGCTACTATTTTTACAAAGTATTTTAAATGGGGAAAAAGCCATTATTTTTTGGTTGTGGGTTTTACACTGTCAGGTAAATAAAAATGTACAAGTAGAGAAGAAAGATGAATGCTTCTGAAATTTAAATTTGACACATTAAAATGTTAATAAAGGAGTATTTAATTTATAAATCTTTCTATTCTGCATGTGTCAACTACATTTCATAGCAATCAACTACATGTCATAGCAAACATGTTCTCTTTTTATAACCTTCAAGACAAACATCACCTACTCTGACTTAAAAACAAGGGAACCTGCCCAACAACTTGATTAAAAAATGTCAAACAACTTCAACAGACACTTCTCCAAAGAAGAGACACAGCAGCCAATAAGCGCATGAAAAGATGCTCCACATCACGAATTGTTAGGTAAATGCAAATTAACACTACAATGAGATACTACCTCACGCTCATTATGAGGCTACTGGCAAATTAAAAAAAAAAAGTTTAACAAGTGTTGACATGGATGTGGGGAAACTGGATCCTTCATGCAATGTTGGTGGAAATGGAGGATGATATAGCTACTATAGGAAACAGTATGGAGGTTCTTCAAAAAATTAAACACAGAATTACCATATGATCCAGCAATTCCACTTCTGGGTATATATTCAAAAGAACTGAAAGCAGAGAATGAAAGATACTTGTATACCCACGTTCATAGCAGTATTACTTGCAACAGATAAACATGGAAGCAACCCACATGTCCATCAGTGGATGAATAGATAAGCAAAATGTGGTGTACACTATACACAATATGGAACATTATTCAGTCTGAAAAAGGAAATGCTGACACATGCTACAATAGGGCTGAAACTTGAGGACGTTACGCTGAGATAAGACAGTCACAAAAGGACACATACTGTCTGATTTGACTTATATGAGGTACTCAGAAAAGTCAAATCATACAGACAGAAAATAGAAAGCCAGTTACCAGGTCTGGGGGTGCTGGAGAATGAAAAGTTAGCGTTTAATGGGGACAGAGTTTCAGTGTGGGAAGATGTAAAAGTTCTAGAGATGGATGGTGGTAATGGTTGCACAATAATGTGAATGTACTTAACACCACTGAACTGTACATTTAAAAATGGTTAGGATGGCAATTTTATGTTATGTGTATTTTGCTGCAATTAAAGATAAACAGGGTGCAAGAGAGGAGAGGAAGTAGCAGCTTGTCTTGTTCATGCTGTCTGAGGTGCATGTCGGAGGGATGGGGTGGGGGCGGGAAGTGTTAAAAACAAAGAACAGAACATTATACAACACAAGCGGAAAACACAGGGCACAAATGCACTTGTATAAAACACAGAGTTTCCATAAACTTAAAACATGTCTGAATGATGGAGCTAACAGCCCTTAACTCCCCACACCCAGGCTGCACCACAGCATATGTCACCCCCTTGCTTGCAAATGTGCCCAAAAGGCAATGACATTCCAAGTTTCCTCTGACAAGCCCAAGGACAGGGCATGAGTTTTCCAAGTTCCTTTCCATTCAAGAAAAGGAAGAGAAGAGAATAGAGAAGAATCAACAAAACATCTCCAAATAGAAGTAAACGAGAGCCAAGAACGGAACTATTTCTCATAATTAAACCCCAATTTCTATAAATTACAATCCTCATTCTAGTGATGACCTATAATAAGATTTGCATTTTCCTCTGATGGTATTTTCCTTAAGAGATGGATAACAAGGTCTTAATCTTCATCTCCCAGACCACTCTAGGGTTCTAAGCACAGGCTTTACAGAAATGTGCTGTTATGGGCCATCATCTTCAAATCATTTCCACACAAGTCTAGGAAAATAAGACAGGCTAGGATAAGCCTCCGGTTTTTAAAATTGCTAATCAAGGGCATCAGTTCTTAACTATATTGCTGTAAGATATGTCACAAAACTTTTGTTACCAGTAAGAAAAATGACCAACATTTGTGAATGATTTAATTTTTAATAATTATTAAAGTACTACACTACACATAATAAAAAATAATACATACTCATAAACTCAACTTCCCTGAGTTGCCAGTAGGAAGCAACCCTGCCGAGCCCTTGATTTTGGATTTCTGGCCTCCAGAATTGTGAGGACATACATTTCTGTGGTTTTAAGCCACCGAGTTTGTGGTTATGGAATCCCAGAAAATGAATAAAATTATCTATCTTTTCAAGCTACTTCAGTTTGATATTGATTATGAAAGGTACATATATGCTATCAAACAGAAGAGACTTTAGGGAGAAAAAATCTCGCATAAATGCAACAAGTTGCCATGACTCTAAGTGCCAAGGTCATATAACATGCAGACTGTGATAATTTCACCAAAACCAAAACAAAGTGGAACAAATCCTCAAACACAGTTGCTGATAATTCCCACCCTGGCCTCCTCTGACATTTCCTTTGGATCAATTTGGCTGCACCTCTTCTGTCAAGCAGGAGCTGGAGGACATTTTGGTCAGCTCCTCCCCAGAAGGGAGCTACAATCTCTGCTCTAACAATCCCCAATTGTTGTCTTAAGTTAGACTGTGTTCATCAATGGCTACCTACTAAACTTAGCTTTTTATCTGTACATTTTCCAATCAGGTCGTATTATTTTCTCCTGGTAGGCAAATGTTTACATTTATCCATTTTCCTGATATAAAGCTACTTCGTATCAGTGTGTTATTAGTCTCTAATTATAAGAAGATAATCCAGAAGAGAAAGTCCAGTCAATTTTATATAAGTTAAAAAAAAGATGTGAAACCTATTTTCAGAATTAACATTTCCTTCCTAAATATCTAACACAACACACAGAAGAGAAAGTCCAGTCAATTTTATATAAGTTAAAAAAAAGATGTGAAACCTATTTTCAGAATTAACATTTCCTTCCTAAACATCTAACACGACACACTTACGGACTCTTAACACACCCTTCTTACACGAAGGGAGCAGCAGAGCAGAGGGCGGCAAGAGCACCAAGGCCAGGTGGAGCCACTGCCTATGTGGGCCCATCTCATTCCGCAGGGAGAAGCAACCGCACTGTGCACAGAGTGCAATCTGGCAGAAGGGAAACGCCGTCTTAAAGAGCTTCAGATGCAGCAACCTCGAGGAAGGGCTGTGCCAGAAAGTCCACCAGATGAGGCCGCAAACCTATCAAAGGGCATCAGACACTCTGTGCACAGGGTACACAAAACAATGCCTCCCACATTCTGTGACTTCCTGCGTGTGCCACTTGGACCACCACACTCCCTACCTGCACCATCTTACCTGGACAGACTAAATCTCAGCCACCTCATGACTAGGATATTAACATGGCTTCCAGTTCTATAAATTCCTCCCCCTTAAGAATGCATGTCCAGAAATGATGAAAACTGGACTTGTGAGTAGCTTTGTAGTAGGGATTACAGGTCCAGAATAGAATAGGTTCAGTAACATATTTAAGATATTTAAGGGAAAAAATATAAGCCAAAGATTTAACATCTAAATAGTGACTATCAAGGGTAAAAGTCACACATATTTTTTATGAGTACACACAAACACAGGAAGTACAGTGACCAGGAGCTGAGGGATGACCCACTAAAGAATAAGCTCCAGAAACCAAAATGACTAGAGGCAGATGCAAAGGTGAGCTGCAGGTGGTCTGTATTTATCTGTGGAGCTGCTGGCACATGACGGTGATAAAAGTGCAGCATGCCATGGTTACCAGCTTGGACAATGCAGACAAAGAACAACCACCAGAGAAGTGGTAGGGGCGGGCAGAAGATGTGCAGGAGCCAACTGGGACTGGGGTGTCCATCAGCTAACTGCAGTATCAGGTACTATGGGGAGCCAACCAAAGAAACTAAGTGTTTGCTATAAAGGCATTAGGATAAAAGTGGGAAAAAAAAGGGAGGAAGAAAGCCCTCTTAAATACCAAAAGGGTAAAAGCAAATAAAATAGAACAAGGTGGTTCCCTGTTATCTGTGATGTAAAAAATGGACTTGGCTCACCTATTAAATGGAAAACAGTCTTGGATTGGCTCACAAAGCAAAATCAAACACCATACTGCATATAAGATATACAGCTATAAAAGGCTGGGAAAATATATAGAGAATTTATAGGACTCAGAAAAAAAGTAACTGTCACAGGAAACTTTATAGCATTAAATACCTATATCAACACAAATTTAAATAATAAAAATAAATTATTTAAACATATAACTGAAAAAGCCAGAAAAAGAATAAGTGAACCAAAAGAAAGGGGTGAATTATTACAAATAAAAGCAGATATTATTAAGTAGAAAAAGAATAGAACTAAGAAGTAAATCCAAAAGCTGGCTCTCAAGAGAAAATAATCAACCAAAACAAACCACTAGGTATCTGATTAGAAAAAAAAAAAATAAGAAAGTTACAAGTGCTAACAGAAGAAAACTTAAACATTGTAAAAGATAAGGAAAAGAAAGGGATAGAGAGAAAAATGTGTAGATTAAAAGAGACTTTAAAAACATATCAAATTTTAAGAATAAAACAACACTAAACTATAGTGTCTAGGGATATACACTTGGTGATAAAACTATAAAGATTAGGGAAATGATTACCATTAAGAGTTTGGGAAGTGGTTATTTTTGAGGAGAGGAAGTAGGTTATAATAGAAATGGGACATGTGGTGGGCGCTTCTGGGATGATTGATAAAGTTCTATTCCTTGACCTGGGTGTGGTTACAAGGATGTTTCCTTTATAAAAATGAAGAAAAACATTAAAAAATCATTACAGGCAACTTTATAAAACTCTTTGCAGTAAGTTAGAAGTAGATGAAACATTTTTAAAAAATATTAAATTTAATGCTATTCCAATACAAAATCAAGTTTTTTTCTTAGAGCTAAACAAGTTAATTATAAAATGCATTTAAGAACAAGAAGAAACTATCCTAAAATTCATATGGAATGAAAAGAGAGCCCAAATAGCCAAAGCAATCCTAAGCAAAAAGAACAAAGCCAGAGGCATCACACTACTCAACTTCAAACTATACTATACAGCCCCAGTAACCAAAACAGCTTCTGTACTGGTACAAAAACAGACTCACAGACCAATGAACAGAACAGAAAACTCAGAAATAAAGCCACACACCTACAACCATCCAATCTTTGACAAGGCCAGCAAAAGCAGCAGTGGAAAAAGACCATCCTATTCAATATATGGTGTTGGAATAACTAGCTAGCCACATACAGAAGACTGAAGCCAGACCCCTACCTTTCACCATATACAAAAATTAACTCAAAATATATTAAAGATTTCAATGTAAGACCTCAAACTGTAAGATCCTGGAAGATAACCTAGGAAATACTCTTCTTGACGTTGGCCTTGGCAAAGAATTTTTGGCTAAGTTCCCAAAAACAATTGCAACAAAAACAAAAATTGGCAAGTAGAACTTAACTAAATGAAAGAGCTTCTGCACAGCAAGAGAAACTATTGACAGAGAATACAGACAACCTACGGAATGAGAGAAACTATTTGCAAACTATGCATCTGACAAAGGCCTAATATCCAGAATCTACAGGGAACTTATGCAAAAAAACAAACGACCCCATTAACAAATGGGCAAAGGAGTGAGCGGAAATTGCGCCACTGCACTCCAGCCTGGGCGTCAGAGTGAGACTCCGTCTCAAAAAAAAAAAAAATGGGCAAAGGACATGAACAGGCACTTCTCAAAGAAGATATATAAGTGGCCAACAAACATGAAAAAGGCTCAGTACCACACAGCATTAGAGAAATGCATCAAAACCACAATGAGACACCATCTGACACTAGTCAGAATGGCCATTACTAAAAAGTCAAAGACAACAGATGCTGGCAAGGCTGAGGAGAAAACAGAATGCTTATACACTGTTGACAGGAATGTAAATCAGTCCAGCCATTGTGGGAAGTGGTCTACAGATTTCTCAAAGAACTTGAAATAGAACTACCATTCTATCCAGCAACCCCATTACTGGGTATACATCCAAAAGAAAATAAATCATTCTACCAAAAAGACACAGGCACTCACATGTTCATTGCTGCGCTATTAACAATAGTAAAGACACAGAATCAACCCAGGTGCCCATCAATGGTAGACTGGATAAAGAAAATGTGGCACCTATACATCATGAAATACTACACAGCCATAAAAAAGGAATAAAATCACACCCTTTGCAGCAACATGGATGGAGCTTGACTTAATTCTAAGCAAATTAATGCAGGAACAGAAAACCAAATACCACATGTTCTCACTTATAAATGGGAGCTAAACATTGAGCACACATGGACACAAATATGGGAACAACAGACACTGGGGACTACTAGAAGGTAGAGGGAGTGGGGGTGGGTTAAAAACAACTACCTATTGGGTACTATACTAACTAGGTGACAGGATCTGTACTCCAAACCCCAGCCTCATGCAATATTTTCATGTAACAAATCTGTACATGGACCTTCTGTATCTAAAATAAAAGGAGAAGAAGAACCAGTAAGCACAAATAACCAGACAACTCTGAGTAAGAACCACAATGGTGAAGACTCTAGCCCCAGCTGACATGAAAACACAGTATTAAGCCTCTCTATTTACATCAGTGTGATGAGGGAAGTCCATGAAGACAGAGAGAAAACCCTGTAGCCCCAATTGCCCATGGAAATTTAGTATGGGAAAAAGAGATATCTCAACACAGCAGGAAAGGGGCTTTTCAGTTAGTAGTGCTGCTGCAGTAACTGGACAGCTACTGCACAAAGACACAAACAGATTTGTTCCTCACGTCATGCTCCAAGATAAATTCCAAATGGAGCATAAGTTCTCTTCTCTCTCCTGAGGCATAATTCATATACAGCAGAATAGACTTTTAAGTACAGTTCAGGGAGTCCTGACCTGTGTACCTCCTGTAACACATACCCAATCAAGACACCATAGAAAGCTCCATATAGCTATTAAGTCAATCACCAGGGAGGCTCACCACTCTGCCTCTCCTTGGGAGCTAAGAGGTAAGCCACCATCATGAGTCCTGTGCTGACGCAGGCCCCAGACATGACTGACAGCACAGTCAGACTACGTGATGTCTCTGGCTTGCCTATTAATTTTCTTAATGATGACTTAAGAAGACTTTTAAAGATGATTTTAGACTTGCACAAGAGTTTCAGAGGCAGGACACACGGTGTCCCCAAGTTTCCACCCACCTTCATGCAGCCATAGAACAAGGATCAACACCAGAAGAGGAACTCTGGCATGGTACTCCCAGCTCAACCACAGGCTTTGCTGTTTTGCCAGGCCACCCACCAGAGCCTGTCTGCTGCTGGGCCCAGTCCAGGATCCACACTGTACTTAGCTGACACACTTCCATGGCCCCCCATGCCAGAAGAGTTTGTAGTCTCCTCTCATCACCTTGAAGAGTACTGGTCAATTATTTTGTAGAATGTCCTTCAAATTGGGTTTGTCTGCTGTTTTCTCCTGATTCAGCTTAGGGAAAACCACCACAGATGATGTGCCACTCACACAGCACCACATCACAGGTACCTGCTGCCAATATGATGCCACCTTTGAGTTCTTGGTTGGGGCTGTGTCTGCCAGGTTTCTCCACTGTAAAGTATTGTTCCCTTTGTAATGAATAGCTATTTGGGGGGAGACTTGGCAGATAATTCTATTTCTCCTAATTCTTTCACCTGTTAGATTTCACCTTGCTGCATCTGTCAAGGGACTGTGCTTATAACAATTATCATGGTGATTTTCTATTTCCCTTATTCCTTCTACATTTATTAACTGGAATTTTACAAGGAAGAACTGTTCCTTATCCCTCACTTATGCATTCATTTATGTATTGATATCAGCCTAAATGGATGGCTATTTCTTTTCTTTTTTAGGTTGTAATCCATTACTACTGTTGTCTATCCTGTGGCTCGAACTGCTCCAGCTTTGGCCAATGCAGCACTTTTTGACGGACATCTACCCTTCTGATATCTGACAGGCTGCCATCACTCACCTTTCATTTGCCCTACCCCAGCCCTGGAACCAACCCCTTCCCTGAGGAGCCCTTAGGATCCACCATCTCAGGCTGGCTCTGGTCACTGATGCAGGTGTCACTGCTCTAAGGCCCTCTGTCGACAGACTTAGAAAACAGATGTGTTACACTAACTCACACATGCATAGACCCACATTTCTCTCTCTCTGAAAAAACCAACAGCCCTAGTTCATGCTGACACCTCCAACCCTGATCCAGAACCACAGGATAACTCTAGCACCATCCTTCCTTATTTGTAACTTCTTCCTAGAATACGTACAGTTTTGAGATTGCTAACCCATGCCCCTATGAGAAACAAGTGCACTAACCAGAGGTTTTATCTTTAGCCTTACAGCATCCTGTCAAAACACTGTTTTCCAAAGTTACTGATAGGTCAGCTAATTCCACATCCATTTCACTATGGTTATGGCAGCATTCCCTAACCGTTTTGGCACCAAGGACCAATTTCTTAGAAGACAGTTTTTCCACAGACTGGGGCGAGGAGGGGGGATGGTTTCAGGATGAAACTGTGCCACCTCAGATCATCACACTAACATCATAGTTAGAGTCTCAAAAGGAGTGAGTGAGCAACCTAGATCATTCACATGCACAGTTCACAATAGGGTTCATGCTCCTATGAGAATCTAATGCTGCTGCTGACCTGACAGGAGGCAGAGCTCAGGCAGTAATGCTTGCCTGCCCTCTGCTCACCTCCTGCTCTGTGGCCCAGGTCCTAACAGGCTACGGACAGGTACCGATCCGTGGCCTAGGGGTTGGGGACCCCTGGATTATGGGATAAGTTTGTAATACCATTTGATTCATCTGTCACAGTTTGTATCACTTGGGCACTCCCCCCAGTAACACACACACAAACATCTTTGTTGATTTTAGTGAAATTTTGTGGTGCACAGTTCCATGGGTTTTGACAGGTGCACAGTCAAATCTAACACAGTCCCATCACTCCCCAAACTGCCTCTCGCTCTCTTTGTAATCAACTCCTTTTCCCCAACTCTTAACCCCTGGCAACCACTGATTTGTTCTTCTTCCTTATGGTTGTGCTTTTTCTAGAGCATCCTTTAAATAGAATCATACAGTATGGAGGCCTTTTAGGTTTGGTTTCTTTCACTAAACAAAACGAATTTAAGATTCATCCATGTTGTGGGAATTAATAGTTTGTTCCTTTTGACTTTTGAGTGGTATTCTGCTGTAGAGATGTTACCACAATTTGTTTATTCATTCACCAGTTGAAGGATATCTGATTTTGAGTGTTGGCAATTACTGAATAAAACTCTATTAACAGTCACATGCAGGTTTTGTGTGAGCATGAATTTTCACTTACCTTGGGTAAACACCTAGAAGTGAGACTGCCAGGTCCTAAGGCAGTGTAACACAGTAAGAAGCTGCCACACTGTTTTCCAGAGTGGCTGTGCCATTCTGCATTCCCAGTAGCAGGATTGGAGAGCATATTCCTGCCAGCACTTGGCACTGTCCTTGCCAGCACTGGGATGCTTCGTGATTGTTCTTTCATCTTAGCTACTGATGTAGGCCTGTGCTGGTACCTTATGAAGAAGGTGCACAGCCTTCCAAATCACCTAGGCCCACTGTGGCAGTCTCATTCCCCAGAACATACTGTTATATCTCTAGCTGGTCAGCTGCTTGCCCCAAATGGTACTGTGGCCTTAGGCTAGCTGCAGTGTTTACCTTCCGGATTGCTTGCATTTGTTTCCCTAACAATAAATTATGTTGGGCATCACATGCTTATTTTTCTCTGCTTATTTGCATGGGCTTCTCTGCAATCCATGCAAGTTGTTTGGTGAAGTACAGGTTCACCAAAACTATTCCCCAATTTTTTACTGGGCTGTTTTCTTATTGTTGAGTTTTAAGTGTTCTTTATTATTCTGGATACTAACCCTTTGTCAGATATGTGACTTACAAATGTGTTCTCTGAGAGTAGAATTTTAAAATTTTGATAAAATGCAAATTATAGATTTTTTTCTTTTATGGATTGTGCTTTTGGTATCATATCTAAAAACTCTGCCCAAGATCATGCAGACTTTCCTTTGGGTTTCTTCCATAAGTTCTACAGTTTTACATTCTACATTTAGGTATATGATCCATTTTGAGTTCATTTTTGTATAAAATGTGAGCTGTACAGGTTATTTATTTATTTATTTATTTTTGCATATACACATCTAGTTTTCTAGTCCATTTGTTGACAAGATTACACTTTCTCCATGGAATATATTAAGAGGTGCCTTTACACCACTGTCAAAAATAAACCAACCATATCTGTATGGACTTATCTGGGGTCCTCTGTTCTGTTCCACTGACCTGTGTATCTATCTTTTCACCAATACCACATACCACTCTCTTGATTGTGGTGATTTTACATTTTATAGTAAATCTTGTTCTTTTTTCTTTTTCAGATGGAGTTTTGCTCTTGTTGCCCAGGCTAGAGTGCAATGACAGGATCTCTGCTCACCGCAACCTCCACCTCCCAGGTTCAAGTGATTCTCCTGACTCAGCTTCCTGAGTAGCTGGGATTACAGGCACCTGTCACCATGCCCGGCTAATTTTTTTTTTTTTTTTGTATTTTTAGTAGAGACAGGTTTTCACCATGTTGGCCGGGCTGGTCTTGAACTCCTGACCTCAGGTGATCTGCCCGCCTTGGCCTCCCAAAGTGTTGGGATTACAGGCCTGAGCCACCACGCCCAGCCGTTGCTCTGCCTTTCTAATGATGACTTTAGGTATAAGTTTTTAATATAAAGTTTATCTTTTTTTCTTTCACAGCTTGTGGTTTTTGTGTGGTAAGCAATCTGCCTACTTTACATTGTGAAAATATTATTTTCTTCTTAAAACTTTACAGTTTTAGCCTTTTACAGTTCATTCTACAATCCATCTAAAATTAATGCTATGTCCACAGTAAGAGTGAGTAGTAGAGTTTCATTTTTCCTTGCATGTTTATCCAGTTGAAAAAATCTTTCCCTTCCCAACTGAACTATGTTGGTTGAAAAAACTTTGATTTCTCCTGTTGTTGCACTGTGCATCCTAGTGTTTTGTAAATTAACTATTCTTATCTTCTTAGTTTTTTATAAGTGTAAACAGGGGAAATATAATTATAATTTCTTTTAAAAGAGCTCTCTTACTTAATAAAGAAACAGGCTGGGCACGGTGGCTCACGCATGTAATCCCAGCACTTTGGGAGGCTGAGGCGGGTGCATCACCTGAGGTCAGGAGATCAAGACCATTCTAGTCAATATGCCAAAACCCTGTTTCTACTAAAAATACAAAAATTAGCCAGGTGTGGTGGTGGGTGCCTGTAGTCCCAGCTACTCAGGAGGCTGAGGCAGGAGAATTGCTTGAACCCAGGAGGCACAGGTTGCAGTGAGCCGAGATCACGCCACTGCACTCCAGCCTGGGTGACAGAGCAAGACTCCATCTCGGAAAAAAAAAAAAAAAAAAGAACAAACGAACGAACAAAAGGAAGGACAGGAAAGGGAAAGGAAAAGAAATAAAATGTCTAATGTTTTTTGCCCACCAAACTAGTTAAAGTAATTACAAAGACAAGGCTGCTGTAAACACCTTGTGCACTGTCCCCACAACGCAGATGGCATGGGAGCAGACAGCACCTTTAGATGAAGACACACATGCAGCCTACACAAGGCACACAGATGCATTTCAGCCATTATTCCCTCATGATGAAACCCTCCCCTTGTGCAGTGTGTAACCTGAACTGACACACACACATCTTGGGTGAAGTGTGAAGTAATGGGAATCTGTGTACACTACTATTCAGAGTATAAACTGGTGCAAAATTACAGAAGGTAATGTGGCAATACTACAATTTTAAATATACAATTCTATTAGGAACTTAGATTTCATAAGTATTCACACAAGTATGCAAAGAGATATTCACAGATGACCCATGCTATACTACCAGAAATAATGAAAAGTGGGAAATAGCCAAAATGATGTCAGTGGAAGCTTGGACAAATAAGTTATGGTATACCTAAACAATGAAATGCCATCATTAAAATGAATGAGGAACTCAATGCACACTGACATGGAACAACTTCCAGGAAATACAAGTGGAGGAAAAGGATGAACATGCAATGCATTAGGAGAACATGCTGACACCACCTCACTGGAAAGGGAAAGAGGTGCATGACCTGTGACACTGTGGTTCTGTTCCTAGGCACAGACCCAAGGACCCTGTGCAAGGCAATGCAGATTTAGATGCTATTTCAGTTAATGGAACTCTACCTTCCAGCTGCTCAGGCCAAAGTCTTAGTCTCACCCCTCGACCCTCCTACTGCACCATACACATTCCATGTGTCAGTTCCACCTGCAGAATACACCCAGGATTTGAGCCCTTCCTCATCCACCACCTCCTTTCTCTCCAAGCCATGATCATTTCCCATGGAGGTTAACCCAAGCCTCTTAAGAATTGGTCCACTTGCTTCTGTCCTGCCTCTTGGAAGTCTGTTCTTAACACAGTAGCCAGAATAATCCTGTTAAAGCATAGGCCTGAACAAATCACTCCTCTGCTCAAAACCCTGACTCCCTACTTCACTCAGAAAAGCCCAAGTCCTTACTATGACAACAGGTACTTCACAGCTGGGACCCAGTCAGGCTGGGATCTTGTCTCCTACCGGCCCCGCTTCTGGGCTCCCCTTATCCATGCTGGAACCCTGCTGTCCCTGAATATGCCAGATGATGTACTCCTGCCTTGAGGTCTTTGCACTTTTTCTTTCCCTGCCGGGGAGGCCCTGCCCTCAGACATCCATTCATCCTGCTCTCATTGCCTAAGGTTTGCTTCCACAGATGGCTTCTTAGAGGCCACTCTCTGTAGATCTTCCTCTAACACCACCCATCCTTAGCATTTCTTATCTCCCACATACTATCACAATTACTACACTGTGGAACTCATCTTGTCCACTGCCTATCTGTTTCACCAGAATGCAAGCTCCATCAGACATGGGTTTTCATGTTTCATTTATTGCTGTATCCTGACACCATAGCACATAGTAAATCCTTAATATATTGTGGACTAAACAGGTGTAACAGTATGTGTAATAATAAGACGAGAGACATCTCTAAGTCTGGCTCCTGGGTAGATTTTATCTACCCAACAAAGGAGTAGAGGTAGGACTCCGGCCCATGCCATTTCCAAGGAAACCCTTTCTGGAGGGGTGGGGAAAGCTGTGTCCTTCCCATCAAGAGCAAAGAAAAGCCACTACCACTTATGTAGGAAAAATCCCTATGACTCTACCCCTGGGGGTAATCAACAGGCAAAGGGCAACACACTTACTGTTCCCTGTGAGATAATTAACAAAAATAAGCCTCTGTTCAGAATATCTCAGGTGTTCTGGACAAAAAATAAAGATTCAGGATAAAGTTAATGAAGATGAAAATTTTAAATCAACTTAAGGTTCTGAGAAAAAGTCTGATGGCTCTGGATTTCCTGGTGACACAAGAGATCCGGTTGTTTTGAAAAGATGGAGAAGGAGTATGTAGGGAGCCGAACATCAGAGGAGAGTGAAGGAGTTTGAAATATTGATAACACAAAGAGGAGTAGAGCAGGCCAACCAAGCAAACACAGTGGGGCTGTGGGCCGCATGGGGGCCCTACAGGCACATAGCAGATGACCAAGAAACATCAGTTTACAGAATAGTGGAAGAATAAATGAGTGAGCAAGTGAAAAGAGCAAATAAATGAGTGGGTGAACAGGGAGGAGCAAGCAATGGGAGAATAAATTCAGCAGAAAGCAAGTGAGTGAATTGATGATGTCCCCACTGTGTTCTCTGGTGTGAATCTTCTTTCTTATATTTCTTAGCTGCTCATGTGTTGGTTCATTCAGGGTTGGGAATATGCCGTTTGAGTGTGTTTTTTAAAAAAAGACTGGGATGGAGTTTAGGGTAGCGGCAAGAGTGTTACTGAAACAATGGATCATGGAATAGAAGCTGGACAAAAGGAGACATGATAAAAAGAAGGTTGATAGGGTAGAAAAAATAAGGCAACGGTTGAGGTGGTAGTCAGGAAATCTGGAAGGTGAGAAGATTACGCTTAAGGACTGGGATGCCCGAATTCATGAGTCTGGACCATGGGAGTGGGTGGCTGAGACAGAGAAGAGAAGAGGAGAGGAGAGAAGCAGATCCTAGGAACAAAGAGGACAGTACTAAGGCCAGAGGCTGTGAGTCCCACAGGTGGACACTGAAACCACCAGGCAACAGCAGGGACTGGGGTGGAGAAAATGACCACGATTCTTTGCAGACTCTGACATCTGGTGAGCATGACTATGCAGGAGGTGACTGTGCAGAAAAGGATCTGAGCTAGAAAAGGGGAACTTCACCCTTCACGTTCTATGCTTCAGGACTGCATGAATTTTCTGTTGTTTTTCATTTACAAAGAGCACATGTTGCTTTATAATTGACAAAACCCACAAATTTGGGGAAGAGATAATATTAAAGTCAGAGAAAAGAGTTTACAATCCAGAGAAAATCATTAATTTAAGAAGCACTAACAAATACTGCTTGAAACAGTGCTGAGTCTGACACTGAAATTAATTTTCTTTTTCTTTCCAGTCACTAAAGAAAGGGTATCAGGAAGGCCATCTGGATTTTTGCTGAAACCTGTAACAATACTCTAAAGATCCTAAGGGGAAAATGCCAATGTGCTAACAAGGATATTTACTTAAATGGATACAGGATGTCTCCTCTCCAAGGTACAGTGGCTTTCGAGCCCAGTACACACTTCAAGGGCTAGAAGGATCCCCTGAATTCTCTATCCCTCATGGTAACCAGAGACTATGTTCACATTCTCATAAGGGAACCAAAAATGTAGCTTCTTCTATCTTGTTTCCTTGGGGGATGCACAATTTAAAAATGCTTTTTATAGAATTCCATTATCTTGGGATATCCTGGGAACTACTAGAGTTGAAGATAATTTTGGTAGAACCTTAAAATACGATGGCCCCCATTGCTAAGCCCACTGAGAACCAAATTACCAAAGTAAGTGTTAAGACATTCAAATTTGAATAGAAAATATAATGTTTTATGAGGTATAAAAAATAATGCAATAAAAAAGATTTAGAAAATTCAATGCAAAGAACCCAGAAGCATCTCTGCCAAGACTGAGCTGAATGCATTATGTTTGACTACACACTCCCTTGTCAAATGTCAACTTCATAAAAGACAAGGAACAATTTCTTATATATCCTCAACAGTGCCTATAGTTATACTGAAATAACTATAGGCAATTACAGTGCCCATAATAACACTGAAATCCGATGGAAAAAGTTAGAAATTCTTAAAGATATATAGTATCTAGACACTCTTCTTCAATATCTTTCCTTTATAGGAATCATACAATTTCTGTCGTCAAACATAAAACTGAGTGGCAGGAACACTATGCTGGAGAGAAGACCCAGCCAGATTATTTACTTACACCATTTCCCCAGCTGAACCCTCAGAGTCCTTCTCAGGGCCACCCTTTTGGCTAGTCCAATCAATCTGTGACTCACTCTTTTACTGATCCTGACCCTCTGTCCAGCTATGCAGACATCACCATAGGCAGCACTCAACATTTCTCACCTGTCTACTGAAACCCTTAACTGGCTGTCCTCTCTTCAATCTGGACCCCAGCTGATCTACCTTCTATTCTGAATCAACAGCCTAATAAAAGGCTTCCTTAGGTCAGGGTTAAGATGAATCCTCTGTCCATCAAACTATGTTTAAACCTCAGTAATATCATGAATGTTGCTTGAAAGAGCAGCTTAATCAAGGATTCAGAGTATGAACTGGCTGGCTTCCCCCAGATCAACCATGTTGAATTGCTTAATTTCTTCCCTATGTTCTCTAAACTTTGAATACTAAAATGAGTTGAAAAGTAAGCAGAAGGATACTAAAGGCCTATTTTCCCGCACGTTCACAAAAAAGAAAATTAACAAAGTGACGTAGAATCTTGATTACCTAAATTATTTTTACTATAGTTCTTTTTCTAAGTTTTGAAAGCCCACCTTAAATCAAAGAATTAGGGGTACTATGTTTCTCAAAGACATGTGGGGGAAAGAGAAGGTCATTTATATAGTGATTTTAAATGGTGATTACATATGGTCTTATCTTTTTAAAATCAATTTTAGGTTCAAAGTTAAGCGGTTTTTCCTTCCAGAGAAAGGATATATTAAACATCTGCTGCAGTTTCAGGTCACCAACAGCCTCTACCCACAGGTTTGGATTTGCATTTTGGTAGGAACGGACAGAAGTCCCAGGAAGATGAACGAAAGATGAACGAAATGGCAGAGTAGGAAGCCGGGGCGGTCCCAGTACTGCAAAGCAACTAGGTGGGGTAAAAGGTGGTGCTGACTAGTTCTCGCTCACTGTGCCCCACAAAGGGTAGCCAGGGTTGCTGTCATAAAACCTTTTTGCGCAGGGACGCTTGTGTTAGCAGCCATTGATTCAAAGGGGTGGATCTGTAGGTAAGTTTGGGGGAAGGGGAAAGGGAGACAGAGGGGTAGCCAGTTATGCAAAGAAAACATATCTCGACTGTATTCTCTAATTTTATGTGTGCAGCGCAAAAAAAAAACAATTCTCAGACATTTAAAATGTGTTTGAGATGATGGGAAAAAGAATACATGAGGGAAAAAAACAAATTCCCACAAATTCCTCACCGCAGATGCAGCAGTAACACTGTACTTCAAGCATTACAGCTTTTTTTAAATTGACATTCTGTAATATATCTCCCCATCCTAAAATCCACATTTAATAGTGGCTATTGGGAGTAAATGTGAGACACCTAACATTTCTAGATACAGCCAACCAACTTTAAATTTTAAAAAAATTGCCGTAAAAAATAGTAAAAATGACCTAGAGAATTCATAACTGTATAACATTATGCAATACCAACAGCATAATTACAAGCTTTAAATAAGTTTTACAGCTATCAACATTAAATACATCTTAGTGTGGCAGAGAACTGCTACAATATAAGTTTAACAAATATTATGTGTTATCCTCACTGTAACAAAAATAGAAAATTAATTTCTGCTTCAAATACTGCAAAAACCAGTCTCTGGTCTAAAGTTACTAAACTTCTGTCAGAAAAACATATGGCCCATCAAGCACACAGTTGATAATTACACAAATGTAAAATAATATACAATAAATGACTAGACCCATGACATTCTAGAGGAGGCTATCTCAAGACCTTCCTAGCCCTCCAAATTCTCAAACACCACTGTGGTAGACACTGTAGTCATCATACGATAGCCACCTACCCTGGTTCTGTGCTCATGCAGTCTCTGGTTTTTATCTGGACACACGGCTGGGCCACAACCCCCAGCCTCCCTTGCACTAGTGCTCTAGCCAACAAGGTGTGGGCAACGTGATGCATGTAACTTTTGGGCTGTGCCACTGAAACACAGGTTGTGTCTCACCAACCCCACCTACCCTTCGGCCTGAGTGCAAATGTGGAAGGTAATACACCGTTTTGGACCATGCAGGTAAGGCTGCACTCTTGGGATGGCAGAGCAACAAGACAGACTGTGCTTGGCCCCTTGACAATGTTACGAGCAAAGTCATCATGCCAACTCAGGCTTTCAAGGGAGAAAAACTGATTTGTCTTGTGTAAGACACTATTATTACATTTCTGATACATGCCACCAAAACTGTGTATTTTAATTTCCTCAGGTTCCTCAGCTATAATGTGGGATTAATAATAATACCTCTCTCCCAATTATTGTGAGGATTAAATGTTTTAAATTACAAAAAAAGAAAAAAGCATCTGTGTATGAATATTAGGCAATCTACTAGCCTCATTTTTTAGCTAAATAACTTGTTTCTTCACACCAGCCTTCTGGGTGGGCAAGTCTCAAAAGTTATGGAGCTTTGCAGGGACTTGAAAAATAGGTAAGGCCATACATGCTAAACTGGCAAATGGCATGGTTCTGCTCAGCTGTAACTTACATGCTGTGACTGATGTTACAATGGTTATTCTCTCTTTCAAGTTTCTGACTACAAGATTCACAATTCTTCCAGCCATCTTCTGTCTTAATCCAACTCCATCCAGGAGATCTCCAGTCCTGACCCAAAAATGGCATAGTTCTCCTATGAAAAAGTTAATTTATGTTAAAAAGTATATATAATTCATAAAAGTTTCTTTTCACTTAGAACATTTATTCATTAATTTTAAAGATTAAAGTTCTTAACATTTAAATGTCTGCTCATTAATTAAATGTTGGCTGGACATTGGTGACAGTGACAATAACACAGTACTTTGATTGTACTAAAGTGATAAAATGGGGTAAGTAAACGTGGTTTTACTGGCCTAATACTGCATATCCCACGAAAGGTTTACCAGAGGTGACATTCAAGCTCATACCTGAAAAACAAGCAGGGGTCAGGGAGTGTGGAATAGGGAATATTATCCCAAACAAGTATTCTCTTTACCAGAAGTTAGGAGCAACCAAAAATGAAATGTATTCATGTTCAGCAACTCTAAGTAGTTCAGTTTGGTTGAAGCTTAGAATAGATGAGAGGGAGTGGGCCAGAATTAAGGATGGAGAAGTCATTTAAGGCTGGATCAAGTCAGAGGAGTTGGATGCTATTCTGAGGGCAATGAGGGGCCAAAAAAGGGAAGTAAGCAGGTAAGTGATTCAATTAGATTTGTGGTTTACAAAGAACTCAGTATCACACTGGGAGAAGGTATGGGGTGAGGATCACCTGCAGGAAAGTAGTTGGGACTGGAGGCTTCTGAATGTTGATTTTTAAAAGGTGAGAGTGTACAGTGGCAAAAGAAACAGAAGAGCAGAGACTACAGAAACATTTAGGAAACAGAGTCAAACAGTACTTGAAGACTGGCTGGAAACGTGAGGAGGAAATCAAGGAAGTTATCTAGATTTTGTTTTGTAGCCCCTGGTTCTGGGATAAGACATACAGAAGGAACAGCAGGGTTTTATTAGGAAAGGAGAGATAAGGGATATTAATTTCAGCTTCGGACATGCCTGTTCAGTTTGAAATACTAGACTCCAGGTATAAAAATTATGACTTAAAAAATGATGCAACTTCGTGATTAACTTCATGAAGCTCACAATTTGATAAGAGTGAGACTTCAAATGCTAGTTCTTCCCATTAACTTGATTTCTGCTCCTCTTGATCAGTGATTTTCAACTACTGCTGTGCATTAACATCACAGGAAGGTTTTTAAACATTCAAGTGCTTAGTCCCATTTTAGTTGAGTTAAATATGAATATTTGGGGGTGAAGGCTAAGTTTAAATAGTTTTTAAAGGTCCACAGGTGATTCTCATACACAGTGAGACTGTGCATGAGGCTAAAAACCACCTCAGATGTTCACACTGCTGATTCAAAATGTCACATCCCAGAAAGGCTCCCTGACTCCCTGTCCAAACAGTGCTGTTCTGCTGCCTCAACCCCATCCCTACCAGTCTAAGTCATTATCTAGTGCCTTCATAGTTGTAAGGGCTGTCTGAAATGATTAGCGTGTTTATCATCTGTTTTCCTCCAAGAAAATGCAATGTCTTGTTCAGGTCCGTATTCCATTACCTTGAACAATGCCAGGAAAACAACAGGAGCTCTATAAGTATTTATTTACTGAATGAATAAATATATAGATCCATGGTTCAGAAGAGAGTTGGACTAGAGAGAAAGAGGAAAATCATGAGCATTTAGATACTAATCAAGACCACACAAATAATATCACAGAATATGTCGAGAGGGAAATCAAGAGAGCCAAGAAAAAAACCCTAAGAAACATCACCATTTAAGGGACCAGCAGATATAAGCCAAAAAGAAAAACTGAAAAGGAAGAGCCAAAAAGGTAGAGGGAGAAGTAGGAAGCCAGGAGAAAAATGTATTTCAAGAAAGAAATGATCGACAGAGACGAAAATGTTATAAAAACGCCAAGCATGGCAAGAGTTGAAAATATACGTTGAATTTAGCTACAGAAAGGTAGCTGAATTACTCAAGTAAAAGTGGTTTCTGTAATGTGTTACTTTAATTTCACGTCCCGAACAGACTTGAGTATTTTATAATGTAGAATATTTATATCGTAGAGAATAATGTAGAATATTTACATCATGGAGAATAAATGAGAGATGAACATCTCCAAACACCACCTCCCAACTATATTTAGTATAATTAACAAAAAACAAGTTATTAAATGGGCACTTATACAATCCTAGAAGATACAGAAAAAAAAAGGAAGGAAATTACATAGACTTCAACAATATTCCTGGATCAACCACAAATGCTTAACTCTTGACTGGTGTAGGAAATGTATGATGAAGTAATTATTCTTTACACGAAGAAAATCTCAAACCTTGCTAAACTGACTTATAGTCAGAACATGTCTTTTTCAGTCACATAATGATTAATTTAAATTCTTGCTTTAGAAAATACTTTATTCCTTAAATTTCAGCACAATTTTGATAAACTTTGTCTCACAGAACTGCTTCACAACTACTGAACATCTTAAAATGCAAAACTCAATGCCCATGTTCAGTCGATCTAGAGTTATCTAAAACTATCTCTAATAGCATACAGCTGATTTTATGATTTTCAAGAACATTCCCACCAAAGGCAGAAAAGACCATGAAGTAGCAGATGCCTGTTTAAGTGGCACCTTGAGTCTCATAAAACACATTCAACAGAAAATGGCTGCTAGGAACATCTCTGATAATTATCAAATTATCTCTCAATATCAACTTGAAACTGTGGATTCAGAAATATATATTTTAAAAAAAAATCAAGTGGATAATCCTGAAAAATACTGCTAACAGATTTTGTTACTGCTAACAAATACAGGATTTGTATTTGTTACTGCTAACAAATACAGGATTACTTCAACGACAAACATTTGAGCACCAACTACATGTTATTATGCTAGGTGTTCCTGCCCTCAAAAGTGTGCAATTTAGCTAAGGAACTAAAAAAGAACAATAGCAAAACACAAATTCCATACAAGTGTACTATAATAAAGTGTGTTTACATGTAGATATGTGAGTGTGCATGTATACATACATACACATATGTCCACAATCTTGTAACTTGTGGTAAAGAGAGAATAAAGTTAATTTGAGCAGAAAGCAAATCAGCTGGGAAAGCTCTGACGAGAAACTAGGACTTGATCTTGGCCCTAAAGCATGGTTAGATCTTAAATTAATGGAGAGGCAAGGCAAAAAATATCAATCATGGGAATGGTGGGTGCATAAGTATAAAGGTCAAAATGTGTGCCACAGTTTGAGAAAAATAAGCAGAAAAGATTGGATAAAATGGAGAAAGTTTATCAGAGGACTGGTACATAAGCTGGGAAAGTGACTAGAAGCCAGGTCATAGAAGAATATCAAAGAATATCAAAGGTGTTTAGACTTTATTCTGTCAGTAATTAAACGTTTTTCAGCAACAGATCAGTGTGAGCAGTGTTGTTTTGAGAATAATAATTTTCTAGGGCTTGTAGGATAGATCAAATGAAAAACATGGAGACAGAAAAAAACAACTAGGCAACAAATATCTTGCCAACAGAACCTTATCTGGATGACTGTCCTATGTACATCCCGGTATCCTCAGCTGACAAAATATTTTAAAACGTGATGACACACAAATATTGTACTTACCTATTTAGACACTATGCCCACTCATCATTTAATACACTTATCTTCTAGTTTCACAAACAATCTTTATAACATTTACATAAAGAGCCTGCCTACTGTTTCCATTAATATAACCAATTCTTTTACAACTACCTAAACTCTACAGTTAATTCATTTTGGCAACTCAGTGAGAAATGAATAGTTTGGTCTGAATTTCTCAGCTGCTAAGTTTGATTTTTTTAAGGGTTGAAAGGAGTGAAATGCAGCCATGGAAATAAAAAAATAGTCCATGCCCAAAGGCTTATTTTCAACACAGAGGAAAAGATTTGTTTCTCTGAAGATGTGTGTGCTTCACAGATTTGTTATGGTATGCTCTTTGGATCACAATGAAGTTTTTCTTAAAGCATAATCTATACAGCTCATGAACTAAAGCACAAACTCTGGATGCAGATTAAAAACAACAACAACAACAAAAAAAGACAAGTTGCAATTTAAAAGGTCTGGGGTCTGGATCTCAAGTTTTCAAAAATACTCCCAAACTGAGGCTTCTGAGTTTGTAAATCAGAAAACAATGCTACTAAAGTTTTATAGAATGATGACAACCCACGGCTTTTAATGGGAATGTATTTGTTCAGCTAAAAAAATGTGAATTGCTAGAGCTTTGTACGCTTATTTTAATTAAAATTACCTTTATTTTGGGATTTGCAAATACAAAAAAAAACTAGAAATTACTCCTGAAAATTATTAAACTTTTAAGAGCAAGCACTCAAAGGGTGTAGCTTGTATAATTTGCAAATTTTAAGCACATTTTATGCCAACTTATTTCAGACAGCCTACAATGATTAACTATTTTAAATCTTCCCTTAATTTCTATTTCATGTGGTAGGACATGTGGGTGGGGTACTTCAGTAGAAAATGACTTCATGAAGTTCATTTGCTGGTGGAAACTCTTGGCATGAGAGACTCAGAACAAAAAAAAAGTCTTTCCTTCAACAAGCATATTTTTTCTTTACAATAATAATGGCAAACATTTATTAGAGCTTACTATAGGCTATGCATTACTCTAAACAATCTACATATGTTGTCTCATTTAATCCTCATGCTGTCCTCCAAGATAGAAAACATTATTCTTGTTTTACAAGTTTCATTATCTATTTTATAGATGAAGACACTGAGGCAAAGAGTTCAGTGGAGCTGGGATTCAAAATGATGGAGTCTCACTCCGGGATCCATGCTCCTACCCACTATGTTTATAATAGCAGTTCCTGAAAACCCTATTAAAACAGATGCCATTAAATTATAAGCCTTTTAACTTTTTTTTTTACCGTCTATTACAGATCACTAATATGATTTCAAGTAATGATGAATCTAAATATAAAGGCACTAAAACAAGGAAAACAAGACAGGAAAGAAAACTCTAATCCATTTTAAAAGACCACATGTGTTTCCCTATTTGTTTTGCTTAAAAGTGTGGACAAATTTGATCCAGAAAGGACATTTAAAAAAATGGCACACTGAGGGCTGAGAGTCAGAAATAAGATTTACTGTAAGGACTTACAGATAATCACAGATTCCTCATGGGAAAGGTAAACATGTAAAGACGAGGAGAAAACAGAATATGAAAGAGTAAACGTCTTTTTTGATTAGGGCCGGATGGTAAGGATTTGGAGGCAGCAAGAGACAGCTTCATAAGGGAAGAAATGGTTCTCTAGATTCTTTAGTCTTCAAAATGAGTTTGAATAGACCCAAGGACAGAGGTGGAATCTAATTGAGAAAAAGGTCAAATTGAGCTTACTGTGAGGGGAAGGATGCAAAATTAGTGTCTGCTGCAAGAAAAATAAGCATGGAAAGAAATTAAGGGAGGAGACAGAGACAGAGCCAGAGCCACAGACCAGGAGTAGGGAAAAAAAGGTAAGCAGCAGACGGGGCAGAGTGGCCTGGAGGAATGAGGGGTCACACCTAGCAGGTGCCCACCGGCGAAGAGGCAAGGGCCGAGCCCGGAGGGCAAACGCCGGCAGGAGTCGTCCCCGAAACACCTTGCCCAGCGAGGCGGACACAAGCTCGGGCCTGCAAGACGGCCCAGGAGGGTGGGGGCGGGAAGGGGTCGCAGAAGGTGGGCAGGGGAAGCGGCTGAGGACACGCGATGCACCTGTGGGCGGTCCCCGTGCCCACCTGACTCGCCCGCAGCTCCCTGAATGAACCCTCCACACCCGCCGGCCGCCCCCAGACCCCACCTGACGCGCCCGCGGCCCATCGTCCCTTCCTGACGCGCCCGCGGACCCAGACCTCAGCAGACGCGCACGCGGCAATCCCGTCCCCATCTGACGCGCCCGCGACAACCCCGTCCCCACCTGACGCGCCCGCGACAACCCCGTCCCCACCTGACGCGCCCGAGACCCCCGGTCCCCACCTGACGCGCCCGCGACCCCATGTCTTCCCCTGACGCGCCCGCCGCCCCCGGTCTTCACCTGACTCGCCCGTGGCCCATCGTCCCCACCTGACGCGCCCGCGATCCCCAATCTTCACCTAAGGCGCCTGCGGCGCCCAGTCTTCACCTGACGCGCCCGCGGCACCCCGTACCTACCTAGCGCGCCTGCAGCCCCCAGTCTTCACCTGACGCGCCCGCGTCCCCCAGTGCCCAACGGGCGCGCCTGCCACCTGGGCCGGCACCTGACGGCGACCAGGCGATTATTGCCGGAAGTGGGCCACCGCCTCTCGGCGCGCCTCAGGGAAGCCCCGCCCCTGGCCATGCTGATTGGCCGGCGCGGATTCGCGTGGCAGTGTTGCTGCCGGGTCCTGACGCCCGCAGCGTGCGCCTGCGTAGTAGGCACTGCCCCGCCGTCCGCGCGCGCCCAGAGTGCCGGGCGTGGAGGTGTGGGGGCGCGGGGGCGCGGGGGCGCGGGGGCGCGGGGGGGCGGGGGCGGGGGGGCGCAGGGACGGGCGCGGTCAGTGCCTGAGATCCCTGCGATCGCTGGGAGATGACGGTGAAGACCTGAGATTTAGGCCTGCGCGGCGGGTGACGACGCCGGTCCGGGTCTTCACTGGAGGACGCTGGCCGGGGCCTTCAGGTGTTCTCGTGGCCTGAGGACGCGCGTCCCTGAGAATGTGCGTGCCCGCGCCGCGCGGGTCCCACAGGAGCCTGGGCAGCCCCGCCGCCGCATTTCCACCCTGCGGCCGTATTTCCACCCGCTGGGCGCCAAGCCCGGGATGACTGCACTCTAGGGCATCACTGCGCGCTCACACTCAGCATTCAGGCACAAGCACGTTCTCTTTATAAACAGTTTCGAATCTTGTCGAGTCTTTCTAGAAGGTTGAAATGCCCTGGAGGAGCAGCGTGAATAGTTTTTTCCAATTAGGAAAAAAGAATGTGGGGCGGCTGGAGGGAGAGAGGCAGGCCGAGAAGGCCAGGTGCGTCCAGGAGC
This sequence comes from Homo sapiens, assembly GCF_000001405.40. NCBI lineage: Eukaryota > Metazoa > Chordata > Mammalia > Primates > Hominidae > Homo > Homo sapiens. The sequence goes on along the minus strand of NT_187647.1, from coordinate 131,673 downwards.
CGCAGCCCCCGTGCCTCAGTTTCCTCCTAGAAACATGGAGGTGGCGGTGCACGCTACAGGATTTCTGTAAGAACAGATGAGTTAACGTGTGCAAAACATTTAAAACAGTGTCTGGTGTGTAGCAAGCAAATATGAGTATTAGTCTTTTCCTTGTTAAAATGTGTGCATCTACATTTGGTGCACATTACAGGAAGTGTATAGTATGGATTCATATTTTGGAAAAGTAATTTTAGAAGTTATTTCTGATGTGCTTATTGTAATAGTGTTTCTTGACCACATGCTTTTAGATAATGTGAAGGCAATGAAGCAGGCAATATTGCTTGCACATCCCCAATTTAAACACCTGTCTGTCCCTCCTTCCCTCTCTCCTTTCTTTTCTTCCTTACCCTCTCTCTTTATTCCTTCCTTCATTCCCTTCAAGGTTGCGGATTATTCCATTATATAAATGTATCAATTTATTAGAATAGTTTCTATGATGTCTATGATGGGCTTTAGATTGTTTGCAATAGTTTGCCATTACAAATAATGCCCAGTAGTGCTGTGGTTTGATTTAACTTGTGAAGGTATATTTCCAAATAAATCGCTATGATTGGATTGTTGTGTAAACCAAAAAGTGTCTGAGGCAGATCACAACTGATATAGAGGTTTATTTTGCCAAAATTGTGGATTTGCCTGGGGAAAAAGAAACACAGGTTACAGTAGGATTTTTGGCCTGTACTTTTTTCCAAATATTTAAGGGAAAAGCGCCGGTAGGAGGGGAAAGAGGGGAGAGTAGGCTATGAGGCAAGTGGTCACATTTTTGTGAGGCTCTGATTAGAGTACAGCAAATCTACATTTCACATGTGAAAAGAAAGGTATGGGGGAGGGTTATACATCTGTCTCATACTCAGTAGATCTACATTTCACATAAGATAAAGTAAGCTTTTGGGAACAAAAAGAAGGCATGTATGTGTGTGTGTGTGTGTGTGTGCGTGTGTGTGTGTGTGTTGCCAATATTAACTTTTCCCTTTGGCATAGTAAGTTTGGAGGCCTGAGATTTTATTTTTCTTTCACTGATGTGTCAAGATTAACTGCATATGGAATACTAGTAGAAATTGCCAAGCCAAGACCCCACCACCACAATAGGGGACATAGTAATATTAAATTTAGCCCAATTGGCCAGCATCCACACAATTCCTAGTGAAAGAATTCCTGGCTGGATGGTAAAGAGGTAAACTAACTGCAGAAACTCACAAAGCAACAAAAGAAGTCCACAGAATAAGAGCAGGAATTCAGAGAGTAACCACAGAGAGATCCACAGAGTAACAGCAGGAATTCACAGAGTAACAGCAGAACCCACAGTGTAACATCAGAGCCCACAGAGTAACAGCAGAGCCCACAAAGTAACGTCAGAACCCACAGAGTAACAGCAGAGCCCACAGAGTAATGTCGGAACCCACAGAGTAACACAAGAGCCCAGAGAGTAACAGCAGGACACACAGAGAAATAGCAGGAACCCACAGAGTAACATCAGAGTCCACAGAGTAATATCAGAACCCACAGAGTAAAAACAGGACCCACAGTGTAACATCAGAGCCCACAGAGTAACAGCAGGAATTCACAGAGTAACATCAGAACCCATAGTGTAATAGCAGAGCCTACAGAGTAACAGCAGGAACCCACAGAGTAATAGCAGGAACTCAGAGTAACAGCAGAAACCTACAGAACAGGATCAGAAACCCATGGAGTAACAGCAGGAAGCCATGAAGCAGTTCTGTCCAACTTAGGTCAGCATATTCATGGTCTTGGGTCTTCTTTGTGTGTGCTTTCTACCAGGACTGGGCTTAGCTCTGTGCTTGTGAAGAGTAACCCACTCAGTGCCCTCTGAAATTTCGCCACTGGAGGAGGAGAAAAACCCCAGAGGGGCGGGGAGAAACGCTTTTCAAAACACATGGTGCAGCTGGAGATTGTGGTGCAGTTGCCCAGGCAGAAGGCTCGGCAGGGGGAAGTAGTGACCAGGAGGGAGGTGCCTCCTTAACCACAGAGATTTTTTGGCAACCAACTTATTGAAAAATCACGTTTTAAAATTTTCTTTAAGTCAAACCCTACAGAACCTAAGGAGCTGGCTCCTCCTGGCAGGAAGCTGGGAGAGTGCTGGTCACAGTGCACCAGGTGCCCCCTGCCTCACAGGGGCTTAGGGTGGTGGTGAGCACAGGGGCCCCACGCTTCTCCAATGCACACCACACAGTCGTCTCCTCTGACCTTCCCAAATGCTGCACGGACAAGTGTTTGTAGTCCCTAACTCTCAGGACAATGTAGACTTGGTATACCTTCGGGCACGGGGAATCCCATCCTTCTTCCTGTTCCTGCCGCTCTGAAGCATGTGGTGTATGTTTAATGGGGATTTTACACAATATGGGAAGACCACTTCTGCTTTCTATGCAGTGATAATACTGCAATAAGAAAAAATGAACCAAGCCACCAAAACAAAACAGTACCACCTGATGCAGAACTAGGAGGGAAACACAGCAGTGTCTCAGAGCTAATGCAGCAGCCAGGCACCACGACGGTGTCATGGGTACAAGGAGGAGGTGTCTCAGAGCTAATGCTCTGTGCTGACAGCAGCCAGGCACCACGACGGTGCCATGGGTACAAGGAGGAGGTGTCTCAGAGCTAATGCTCTGTGCTGACAGCAGCCAGGCACCACGACGGTGTCATGGGTACAAGGAGGAGGTGTCTCAGAGCTAATGCTCTGTGCTGACAGCAGCCAGGCACCATGACGGTGCCATGGGTACAAGGAGGAGGTGTCTCAGAGCTAATGCTCTGTGCTGACAGCAGCCAGGCACCACGACGGTGTCATGGGTACAAGGAGGAGGTGTCTCAGAGCTAATGCTCTGTGCTGACAGCAGCCAGGCACCACGACGGTGTCATGGGTACAAGGAGGAGGTGTCTCAGAGCTAATGCTCTGTGCTGACAGCAGCCAGGCACCACGACGGTGCCATGGGTACAAGGAGGAGGTGTCTCAGAGCTAATGCTCTGTGCTGACAGCAGCCAGGCACCACGACGGTGTCATGGGTACAAGGAGGAGGTGTCTCAGAGCTAATGCTCTGTGCTGACAGCAGCCAGGCACCACGACGGTGTCATGGGTACAAGGAGGAGGTGTCTCAGAGCTAATGCTCTGTGCTGACAGCAGCCAGGCACCACGATGGTGCCATGGGTACAAGGAGGAGGTGCCTGGTTTTCGGGAGCTTGCCATCTGAACAGACCCAAGGTGGCAAATACACAGTGAGAAAATGGGGCCATGAGTGCTGTAATTACCTACAGAATGTTTAGGGGGACTGGGAGCAAAAACAATCCCCTCTTTCAGAAACCAATCCTGGAAGGTGCTGGAAGGTTGTACTAGCTGTGAAAGTCAGAGGCCACCAGGCAGCTATCGTGAGACCAAAGGCAGTAGTCAGCTCAGGCAAGCCGGTTTCCTTATTTATGTCAAATTCCTCAGTCTTGGGTCTCCTTATCTTTTAAATAAGGAGTTAGAATAGAATTTGAGGGCTGTTCACTCAGGCATCCATGGTGGCTGCAGCATAAGGAGTGTGTGGTGTCAGGATGGGAAGGGCAACATGGAGACTGCATGGCCATTGACGTCTGAAAGTCTCTGGTTGCCAAAAAGAATCTATCTACAACAGCATTCATCCTGACAGCAGCCAACAGGCAGCCTAGACCTGGCATGCCACAGCTCCTCTAGGCTCTGAACCCCTCTCAGCTGAGCCTGGTAGATGCCAGCTGACCGGCTGCAGCCCCTGAGTAGAGGTTGGCTGTCCTAGCAATAGAGTAGGGCGGGGGCACAGCAGACATGGGACCATCATCTGGATTCCTAGACGTGCAACTGCAAGTGAGTACATAACCTCCTGAGCCCCAGCTCTCACCTGAAAGCTGAGTTAGGCGCACACACAGGAAGGCAGAGATGGGTCCAGGGCTGGGCTTCTGGTTCCTCTACTCAAACTCTGCTGCTCCCTGCCCCTCTGCCATCCCTGCAAGCTCCTCACTGACCATGCTTGTCTCAAGCGTTCTCTCTTCCTCCTGACCTCCTGGGGACTTCATAAATCCAGTATCTTTTTAAAATAATCTATTATTTTAGGCTCAGGGCTACATGTACAGGTTTGCTATACAGGTAAACTCATGTCTGGGGGTTTGTTGTACAGATTATTTCATCACCCTACATGTACAGGTTTGCTATGTAGGTAAACTCATGTCTGGGGGGTTTGTTGTACAGATTATTTCATCACCCTACATGTACAGGTTTGCTATACAAGTAAACTCATGTCTGGGGGGTTTGTTGTACAGATTATTTCATCACCCTACATGTACAGGTTTGCTATACAAGTAAACTCATGTCTGGGGGGTTTGTTGTACAGATTATTTCATCACCCTACATGTACAGGTTTGCTATACAAGTAAACTCATGTCTGGGGGGTTTGTTGTACAGATTATTTCATCACCCTACATGTACAGGTTTGCTATACAGGTAAACTCATGTCTGGGGGTTTGTTGTACAGATTATTTCATCACCCTACATGTACAGGTTTGCTATACAGGTAAACTCATGTCTGGGGGGTTTGTTGTACAGATTATTTCATCACCCTACATGTACAGGTTTGCTATACAGGTAAACTCATGTCTGGGGGTTTGTTGTACAGATTATTTCATCACCCTACATGTACAGGTTTGCTATACAGGTAAACTCATGTCTGGGGGGTTTGTTGTACAGATTATTTCATCACCCTACATGTACAGGTTTGCTATGTAGGTAAACTCATGTCTGGGGGGTTTGTTGTACAGATTATTTCATCACCCTACATGTACAGGTTTGCTATACAGGTAAACTCATGTCTGGGGGTTTGTTGGACAGATTATTTCATCACCCTACATGTACAGGTTTGCTATGCAGGTAAACTCATGTCTGGGGGTTTGTTGTACAGATTATTTCATCACCCTACATGTACAGGTTTGCTATACAGGTAAACTCATGTCTGGGGGTTTGTTGTACAGATTATTTCATCACCCTACATGTACAGGTTTGCTATACAGGTAAACTCATGTCTGGGGGGTTTGTTGTACAGATTATTTCATCACCCTACATGTACAGGTTTGCTGTGTAGGTAAACTCATGTCTGGGGGGTTTGTTGTACAGATTATTTCATCACCCTACATGTACAGGTTTGCTATACAGGTAAACTCATGTCTGGGGGTTTGTTGGACAGATTATTTCATCACCCTACATGTACAGGTTTGCTATGTAGGTAAACTCATGTCTGGGGGGTTTGTTGTACAGATTATTTCATCACCCTACATGTACAGGTTTGCTATACAGGTAAACTCATGTCTGGGGGTTTGTTGTACAGATTATTTCATCACCCTACATGTACAGGTTTGCTATGTAGGTAAACTCATGTCTGGGGGTTTGTTGTACAGATTATTTCATCACCCTACATGTACAGGTTTGCTATACAGGTAAACTCATGTCTGGGGGGTTTGTTGTACAGATTATTTCATCACCCTACATGTACAGGTTTGCTATACAGGTAAACTCATGTCTGGGGGGTTTGTTGTACAGATTATTTCATCACCCTACATGTACAGGTTTGCTATGTAGGTAAACTCATGTCTGGGGGGTTTGTTGTACAGATTATTTCATCACCCAGGTATTAGCCTAGTACGCAATAGATAGTCTTTCTGATCCTCTCCCTCCTCCCACCCTCCAGCCTCAAGTAGGCCCCAGTATGTGTTGTTCCCCTCTGTGTGTCCATGTGTTCTCATAATTTAGGATATGAGGATAATGGCCTCCAGTCCCATCTATGTTCCTGCAGAAAACAGGATCTCATTCTTTTTTATGGCTGCATAGTATTCCATGGTGTATACGTACCACTTATTTTTTTTTTATCCAGTCTATCATTTTTGGGCAATAGATTGATTCCTTGCCTTTGCTATTATGAACAGAGTAGTGTGGGCTTATAGTCCCAGCTACTCAGGAGGCTGAGGTGGGAGGGTTGCTTGAGCCCATGAGGTGGAGGGTGAAGTGAGCTGCGGATTGCAATGAAAAAACACGTGCATGCATCTTTACTGTAGAACAATTTCTATTCCTCTGTGTATGTACCCAGTAATGGGATTGCTGAGTGGAATGGTAATTCTTTTAGCTCTTTGAGGAATCACGATACTGCTTTCCACAATGGTTGAACTAATTTACGCTCCTATCATCAGCGTATAAGTGTTCCCTTTTCTCTGCAACCTTGCCAGCATCTGTTATTATTTGACTTTTTAGTAATAGCTACTCCGACTGGTGTGAGATGGTATCTCATGATGGTTTCAATTTGCATTTCTCTAATGATCAGTGATATTGAACTTTTTAAAATGTGCTTGTTAGCCACATGTATGTCTTCTTTTGAAAAGCGTATGTTCATGTCCTTTGCTCACTTTTTAATGGGGTTGTTTGTTTTTTTTCTTGTAAATTTAGTTCCCTATGGATGCTGGATATTAGACCTTTGTCAGATACATAGTTTGCAAATATTTTCTCCCATTCCATAGATGATCTGTTTTCTCTGCTGATAGTTTCTTTTGCTGTGCAGAAGCTCTTAACTTTAGTCGGATCCCATATGTCAATTTTTGCTTTTGTTGCTATTGCTTTTGGTGTGTTCGTCATGAAATATTTGCCCTTTCCAGTGTCCAGGATGGTATTGCCTAGGTTGTCTTCCAGGAAATCAGCACCTTATGACTTGTTTCAGTTATTTAAATCTTAGCCCAGCCCTGCTCTCTACTTAAAACAAAACAAAATGAAACAAACAAACAAAAAAAAAACTCAGTTCCCCATGGAGACTGAAAGCCCTCTGAAGGCTGAGATGAAAGTCTTATACTTTTTGGAGCCTTGAGTGTCCACCTCTAACTGTGGAGAAGGAATGGAAAGAGAGGTGCAACACACGGGCTGCACATCTAGCTGGAAATGTGCAATCCAAAGGGCACGACTTTTGCTGAAACCCCGGGAGTGGGCCAAGGCCGCAAAGTCAGTCAGATGTGGTATCAGTGTTTGCTCATTGTGTTAATGATTATTTCTATGGTGACATGGCTTTTTTGTTTCTCTGTTGCCTTACACGAGATCCAAGCAATGAGACACACACAGCCCAAGCAGGGATGGCAGAACTCAGACCCGGACCAAACTCCTGGCTGCAATTTGTTCATACAACAGGTGGTGTCTGTCTCTGTTGTCATTTGAGCCTGGAATTCCTACAGCCTTCTCCCTATGTCCACCAAATATGAGGCCACTAGTGGCTGGGTGTCCAGGCAGCAGGACCTCTTAGCACTGGCAGGGCTGGCCCTCAGACAGCCTCTGACTTCACTCACCCTGATCTCCTGTCCACCGTGACTGGAGGGGAGAGGCAGCTCTCTGGGGTCTCCTTCTAAGGGCACTAATCCCATTTACAAGAGCTCCCCTCCGTGACCTCATCACCTCCCAAAGACCCTGCCTCCTAACACCGTCACACGGGGATTAGGATTTCAGCACAGGAATCTTGTGGGGGAACCAAACATTCATACCCTGGCCATGGCCCAGGTAGCCAAGTGCATTATGTCCGGGGTGAGCTGAAAACCCAGCTCTTCCGAAGAGGGGCAGGAGTGTGAGGAAGCCCTTACTTGTAGCATTTGCTAATTTCTGTTATGTATAGACTCCAACCATGGCTAATTTCACACTGCCCATGAGACAACACTGAATGAGGAGGCGGGAAGGGGTGCACTTGGTCCACTCCCCCAAGCCGATTCCAGCCACCTCCAGCACCCCACTGGGCCTGTGCCTATTGTAAACTATGAGAGCTGTTGGTGCTTTCTGTTCGTTAATGAGTCTTAATTCTAGCACATCTTGAGAAGAATGTTTCCATGTGCCAGATTGTCCAGGAGTGGGAATTTTCCAAGTTTCCAGTTAGGGCCACTGGTTGTACAAATGATGACGACCGGCCACAGATGGTTGGTCCCAGGGTTTCAGCAAAGAAGCCGGTAAACTGAAGGTAGTGAAAGTGCACGTTAAACAGCATGGGTTTTTCCAAGCAGCTTCGTCAGCAGAAGTTTATTCCTTTTTGATTGAATTTAAAAATACAGAAAAAAATAGAAAGGCAATATTTTCTAATGCAACTGGTCATAGCAACTCATTATGGTGATATGCTGCATGTTCTGGAAAATTAATTTGGGTTATAGAAATAATATGATGAAATGGTTAATGGGCATTCTTCCAATAACTTCTGGGAGCAAAAGAAATTAAAGCCAATTTAACTAGCAGAAATCCTTACTAAGTTAGAAGAGAAGGTGGAACTGAATAAGTGAAGATGTCAACACAAATGATTCTTATCTTTTGGAGAAAGTGCCTGATGCACACATGGAAAAGGTAAAATCAGAAGGTAGAAATTTAGCTTCTCTATTTAGGTGAGAACCTCCGCTCCACCGGGAGGGCTGAAGATGGCAAGATGGAAAGGGGGATGGATTCATGCCAGCTGGGGTCTAAGGGGGATGGATTCATGCCAACTGGGGTCTGGATCTTCAGAACCAAGTTGGTGAAACAACTTGGCTTGAGGAATAAGTCTGTATAAAGGCCAAGGTTTATTTCGGTATATCCCAGAACCCAAGCTTGCCTGGACAGCCAAGTTCAGTGTCTCTGGCTAGTCGTAAATGAGGGAGGCACTTCCCAGCCTAGTAGCAGCCTCTTCTCTATTTGCTAGCCCACATTTTCCCCTTCCCAGGTGTCTTTATCCACCTCCGTGGATAGGTGAAGCAAAGAATAGCAAAAATACCTACACTTCTGCCTGTTTTCCTAAAAATTCTCTACACTTTTACTCCAACATAACCAGGGCACTGATGGTGCAGTCCACATGTGCATAAGTTTGTTGTCTAAACTTCTAGGAGGGAGCCCTGCTGAGCAATTAGAACACAATGTAGGGTCTTCTAAAGATGACCTTAAAGGGATGAATAACAGTTAAAATACTAATGTCTCCACGTGAATCTAAGAGAATTATCAGTGAATTTACACAACAATTTCAAAAGGCAGAGACATTTGGGCACCAACATTGGGGTTTTTGTCTTCAATTAAACTCCAGATGAGCACTTCCTGGTGTCAGGAGTGGGCTCCATTTTCTAGTCCCACCAAAGCACTGGTGGGGATATTTCCTTCTGAGTCACCAGGTTCTTAATCCAATGCCCCTCCCTCTCATATGGGAAGGCGCTTGCACATGTTCTGGGCCATGGTCAATACAGGGCTCCCTGTGTAGCTACCTAGGTGGGACTTGGCAATGTCTGGTTTCTTTCTGCTCTCTGATCCATGAGTAATGCATAGGCAGCTACTGACGAAAATTCCAAAGCTCATTGATGGGAGAAGAGCAACTAACGGGGCCACTAGGCATGAGTGACTTGGTCAAGCTGCTCAAGTGGTGTTGCAAAGACTGAAGACATTAGCTTAATTTCTGTGCATTGATTCTGCTTCCTCATGTTGTACTGTTCCTGTTTGGGAAGAAAAAAAAGGAAAATTTACTCTTTCTTCCACTTTTCATTTCAGCTAAAAAAAAAATCCTACTTCTTTTCAAGGCAATGTGGATGCTGTAGTCAACTAGTGAGTGCAAAGTCATGCAGAAGGAAGTAGAGGAAAGAAACATAAGAATATTATTATTTCGAGATTTTTTTGCCCTACTGGGAGCAAATTACACTAATAGAAAAGATTCTGCTAACATTATGAGCCAGACAGCCTTAGAGGTCCATGACAAATGGCAGGTATTTTAAAGAAAGAGCCTGAGAAGAAAATAAATGACATACTTTGTGTAGATGTTTCTCCTTCCACTGAAGGACAACTGTACAGTCTACAATACTTGTTGAGCTATCAGACTTTAAAAGAGCACTTATAAGAAGGAAACACAGATTTACTGTGATTCTGGCTATGATGTGTGAAGTGCCCTCCGGTTTTACCTTTTATTATCCTGAGATGGAAGGAAAATTGCCCAGTAAGACAGTATCTGTGCAGTATCATACAAAAACTGTATCTTTTAAGTTGAAAAGTTGGCATGAGATGAGGCACTTCTCAACCTGAGGACACCTTGACCTGCAGGTGTCTTTTACAGTGTGAGTGGTTCCTCACCTTGTCAAGGCTTTGCTCAAAAGCCACTTCTTATTAGCTCTACCCTTACTATTTCAGTTAGAGCTGCCACTCCGCAGACTCAGGGACCCCTCACATGGGCTTATTTCTCCACCTTTTAACATACTGTGTCTTCTACCTATTTATTCTCTCTGTCTCTACCCGCAGGACATAAGCTTCACCAGGGCAGAAATTTTTGTCTCTTTTGTCACTGCTGCGTCCAAGTTCCAGGCACATAGCAGACACTAAACAAATACTTGGTGAATAAATGAATGAATGGACAAATTACAGAACACATTTCTCATAAGCAGTCTTATCTGTGGATGTTATTGTTCTAGGCCAGAAGAGTCTGTTCATTACACGGTGTAACTGAAAGAATGCATGAAGAAGGTTGGTAAATGGAGATGTGCAGATTCTGTTGCTGTTTTACTTACTAAAGTTTGACAGTCTCCTTGCTTGTTTAATACAGCTGTAGAACATTAAGATACTGATTTGCTACCATTGTCAGTACTTTGTATGAAGCTTTTCCTATATTAACTAGAGATTCAAAGCAGGGAAGATGACTAATAGGAGAAATGTGGTTATGAACAATATAAGAGGTTGCAGAAAATAAAAAGATACAGGAAAGGAACCTGAAGAAGAGGAAGCCTCACCCCGCACATTTATAAAATAGATGGGTCAACTCGAAGGGAGCAAATAAAATATGTCAGCTTGCTATTGATTAAATAGGCTTTGACAAGCCCCTGGGAAGTGTATATAATGTGATTTCTATGAATGAGGAGGCCAAGAACCAAACTATGGAGGATAAAAATGCCTCTCTAAAATTATTGCTTAGAAAGCAGACAGATTTCTTAGTTGCACTCCTATATTAATTAGTATATTATTACATTATTAATTAATATCATTTTGCTGAAACAATATAGTAGGTGGCATATACTATATGCTTAAGATTTATTGCATCAATAAATGGATAAAGATAGAAAAAAACCCAGAAAGTTCAGACAAACATAAGGAAGACACATTTAGAAACCACTCATCATTCCACCACTCAGAAATATCCACTGTTCTTTTTAAGTGAAGCCCTATTTTTAAGCCTCAAATTGTTATAAGGGAAACCACCATCTGTGGAGCTGAAGCCATCATTTGCAGAACTCCAGCACGGCAGATGTGCTGGCGCTGTGTTCCTGTATTTCAGGGTCCTCTGCACCATGCTTCTCCACCTGTGGTCCCCAGCTGCTTGCACTAGAGTCACCTGCAGTATTGTACTATTTATTCAAATATGGATGCTCAAGCCCTGTCGTGCCTACACAGATTTTCTGGGGTGGGGTCTGGGCATAAACAAGCAGCTTGTTGCCCTAATGCACAGCACCGCCTTCACCCTGGGTCTAGACACACGGCTCCCAAGTCTGCCAGGCTGTGCACCCAGGCTCACCTGCAGAGCTTGCTAAAGCTCTGGAATGTACCTCCACCAGGTGTCGTTCATTTTAATGGTGGTAAAACCTGTGCCCTCCATTATCAAACATCTTTCCAGCTGATCCTGGGTAGACAGGCTTGGAACCCTGCTACAGATCAGTGCATTCCTACCTGACTTTGAAATGCTCAAACTCTTTGTTCCAGTGACTGACTGGGCTTTCAGTTAACATGTAAAGCAAATAAAGTGTTATTGCTCTATTCAAATCAGAGAATCTGGGCAGACTCAGGCTCCCCAAATCTCCACACTAGTCCTAAGGGGCTCTGGGTGAAAGGCGGTCTTGATGGTGGCCTCACGTGGCTGGGCTGAACTGCAGCCTCTGAAGACAGCACCAAGTCATTTTCATGTATTTGACCTCCCACAGGGGACGTAACAGAGGGTCTGGGTGTGGTCAATATGCCATAAACATTTGTGGAATGAATACAGCACAGGAGGAGGAAAGCGTAACATACTCGGATGTCTGCCAACCTCCAGGCGTGGCCCAGCTGGATGCCAATATTCAATTCACCCTTTGCTCCTCCTGTGCTGAATGGCCAGGTACTGTGTGACCCAGGTGGGTGCCGGTAAGAAGGACAAATGAAATGCTCCTGGCTCTACCATATAAACCCTGTGTGCCTGGAAAACATTGCTTGATGTCCTATTAAGAATGTTGGATTCCAAGAGCAAATAAGCATTTCCTGCAGATGCTATAAATAACAGAACGACCACAATTTCTGAGGTAAAACTAAATATTAACTATTTCTGTATGCTTGACCCAATGTCAGTTTCCAAGAGCACTTTTCATAGTGGGTACAGGGAAGTGATGAAAATATATTAGACAGCATTTTGGTTGAGAAAATAGGGGGTAGGAAGGATTCTTGGCAGAGCTGTGCCCAGAATTCCCTGTGGTCCTGCAGACGCTTGGGTCCTCATTGTGGTTTGCTGTGGCCTCAACATTCCTCTGGCCTTCTCCCAGGAGGAGGTGAGGGAGAGATCAGTGAAGTTGCAAGTAGTTACACCACCCAAATTAAGACAGAGAACAGCAACCACGTGACATGTGTATCTGCCAAAGGGAATGGAAAGAGGTCTATGTTACATTGTTGATCCTCCTGTCCCTTCTCAGGGGTGTCAGTCAGAGTCCCACTAGAGAAGAAACAAAGAACATTCAAGTTGGGATCATTTAAGGAGTGTTTAATAAAAGGACAGTGTACAAAATTGTGAGGAGGGTTTAAGAAAACCACAAGGGGTGGTGCAGACACCAGGCTGGTAACAGTGAGGCCTGATCCCCAAGTTGGCACTTGGAGCAGAAACAATGCCAGGGAGACGTCACCAGGGCACAGGAGAGGCCGTTGCACTTACACAGGTGTGCAAGGCAAGACTCCCTGAGAACCTTCAACAGCAGGTTTATGAATATTATGGGACAATGGCTGCTTCTCCTTGAGGAGGAGTAGAGAAGCAAGCTTGCTTACTGTTTCTTTTTCTTTTCTTTTTTTTTTTTTTTTTTGAGACAGGGTTTTACTCCCGCGGCCCACATTGGAGTGGATCGGGGCAATCTCGGCTTACTGCAGCCTTCACCTCTCAGGCTCAAGTGATTCTTCTGCCTCAGCCTCCCAAGTAGTTGGGACTGCAGGGATGCACCATCATGCCCAGCTAATTTTTGTAGTTTTTGTGTAGGAGGGCTCTCGCCACGTTGCCCAGGCAGGTCTCGAACTCCTAGGCTCAAGCAATCGGCCCACCTCCGGCCTCCCAAAGTGCTGGGATTACAGGCGTGAGCCATGGCGCCGGCCTGTTTACTGTTTCTGTGCATGTGAACGTGCGTCCTTTCTGAACTCTCACGGGTTGATGGCTAAATGTGCCACTAAATGATTTAACCCAGGGTTTAGAAGCCAGCCCTCTGACACCTTAACATCAGAAAGGCAGTTCTCCTAGAGTCAGGCCTGAAACAAGCATTCTTCCTGGGAAACACCCGTTATTGTAGAGGGGCCTGTAGACAGGGAACTGCGGTGGTTGGAAGGTGTGCGCACGGCCCTGTGATTTAGGACCAGAGTTTCCAGAGCCTGTGCCCTGTGCCATGACCTCACAGAGTGCTGCTGAGTTTGTATCTCCCCTTCCCCCTTGGGTGGGCCTGGAAGGCCAGAGGGGGCTGGAGTTGGGGTTTGCTTTTCCCCAAGTAGGTTAGACTGATGAAAAATTTGGGTCTGTTAGACTCTGGTGAAATAATTCCCCCTAAAGCAGCCCTCATGAGAACAGGGTGTATTTCAAAATAATCCTTTTCCCCTGGCTGTAAGTAAGTGGGGATATTTCCTCCCTCCCTTTTTTTTTTTTTTTTTGAGACAAGTTCACCCTCTGTCACCCAGGCTGGAGTGCAGTGGCGCGATCTTGGCTCACTGCAACCTCTGCCTTTGGGTTCAAGCGATTCTCCTGCCTCAGCCTCCTGAGTAGCTGGGACTATAGGCGCGCGCCACCACGCCCGGCTAATTTTTTGTATTTTAGTAGAGATGAGGTTTCACCATGTTGCCCAGGGTAGACTCAAACTCCTGAGCTCAGGCAATTGGCCTGCCTCGGCCTCTCAAAGTGAGCTGGGATTACAGGCGTGAGCCACCGCGCCTGGCCGATTTTTCCTCTCTAATGTGGGAACCTGGTCGAGCTCTCGGAGGTAAAATTCACCAAGCGCAGGTCCCCCATGACTGGGTTCCCCTGGAGTTTTTCTCTCACTTGTCCAGGTGGCATCTCCAGAAATTCATGAGGGGCAGCTCAAGTCCCTGGCACTGGCCCCGCAGAGGTTCTGCTCCTGTCAGCTGAGGTTCTCAGAACCCACTTGTCTGTGTCTCCAGATTTGGGGGCCGTGCTTTGCCTGGTGACTCAGTTCTCCGACGGGTGAAGAAGAGTTGTTGATTTTCAGTTTGTTCATCCTTTTCCTTCCGTGTGGATGGGAACTGGACTGGACCCTGGAGCCCGGAGCCAAGAAGTCAGGAAGATGATTCCACAGGAGCTCAGGTGTGTCTGTCGCCTGCACCCATGGTCCCTCCCCGAGAAAGCAGACCCACGGCCCCTTCAAGTCCCTCCCTCCACACTGCCCACCCTGCAGCAGGGCCTTCTTCATTCCCCTTCACCGGTGCTCACTGCAGGTAACAGAGGGGCTGGGTGTGGTCATTGTGCTGGACCCTGGAGCATCTGGGCATGCTCATGCTGATCTGGGCATACACCGCTGCAGTGTCCCTGAGAGAAGGAAAATAATCCAATAGAGACAAAATATATGTTTTTTTAAAAAAGAGGATCACCTGAAGGATGTTATCAGCAGCTTCTTAGCAGTGCTCATTTCACCTGCAGAAGCAGCTCTCTGCGTTTTGATTAATTCATTACTGGCTCTGAGATAAGGCTAGGACAGTCTGTATAGCCGGCTTAGAGATTAGGAAAAAACATTTCTATTGCTGCAAACTCCTTCCTGCTAATCTTCCTTCTGATCTACCATGGGCAGGGTGCACGGGTGGGAAATGCATGCAGCCATTCCACCCGTGAAGACGAACTAATAGAAATCCAGGCTTCTGAAGAAGGTGCCGCGGGGGCAACAACCCACCTTGCAGCAGGGTTCTTAGCAAATCCCACAACACAGAACTGAATTGTGTAGCACAGCTTTACTGGCACAATGAGGGTCAATGACAGGGAAGCGTGTCGACACCAGCTTAAAAACAATCAGGGGTTTTTGCACACCAAGACAACACCTGGCTGCTGGGGAGGCTCAGAGTTGGGGTGCTCAAGGGGGTATGGGGCCGTTCTAAATGAGCTCCCATCTTGGAGGCTGCTCTAGAAGCTAAGAACTTGCAGACCTGACTAAGGGCTGTAAACCTCATTTTGGAGTGCAGAATCCCAGGCTGTGGTCTTGGAACCCCTGGGAATATGTTGAGTTGTCATAAGGGCCCTTCAAGCAACTGTGGTCTGAGACTGACATGTCTCCAGGTGTGGTTTTGGGTCCACCAAGGTGCTTAGATGCTTTTGTGATGAATTAAATACAAATTCAGTAAAATGTTACTAAACAAAGTGCCTTTTTGTCCTTATGCCCTTTCCCAGTAAATATTCTGAGAACAATAATATCAAGTATGTGTTCGCGAGAAATTTTGAGATAAATGTGTTTCATGCTGGCAGAGTCAGGAGCCACAGCAAAAACAATGTGAAGACGCATTCCGCCAGCTCCTGGGCGGGGAGGTGGTACGGGAGTCGGGCTCTAGCCCACCTGGCTTGGCAGCTGGCCCCCAGCAGCCCGCTCAGCCATCGTGCCCCGCTGGGCACTGCCCCATCATGGTCCTCAGTGTCTTCCCTTGGGACACTGGTGTCTTAGAGATGCTGGGGCACACATGGTGTTCACAGCCTCACATTTCAGGAATCAGAATGTATCTTAGTTACATGGCTTGTCATAGTTTAATTGGAAGTGTTTTTCCTCTCTCGGTTCCATGAACGCAATGGTGTGTCTACAGTCTAGAGCATCTTCGTGTGAGTGGAGCACAGTTGATGCTGCTGGAGTCACTGGAGTGCTGGAGCTTAAAGGGTGGCCCAGTCTCAAAGGGCACACCAGACTCTGTCCTAAGTCCAGGGACAAATGCTCACAGCTCCCTCAGCCACCCCCACATTGCTACGAGAGGAGGACTGCCTTGTCCCTGTTTTACAAAAGAGGAAACTGAGGCACAGGTGGGTGAGGACTGGCCTGCAGGAGAGCCAGGCCTGCTTGCTGCACATCTGCACCATAAGCCATCTCTACAGAGGGACAGACCGAAGCTGCCCAATTGACCCCCACACACAGTCAGCCGCCGGTCAGCTGCTGCACTGGTGATGTCACTGAGAGGGAGAATCTGCTCCCACGGCTGCATCTCCTGCTGTCACCATCTCCTCTAAGCCTCCACTTCACTCAGCTTCATTTAATGGGGGACATGTTCGTCTGTTCACAAACTCAACAAATGTCAAGTATTTCCTAAGCGTAGGCCCTGGGTTGAAGCCTCAGTGTGGGAATAAACAGGTTCGTGTCCCCATAGGGGTCGTGATCTAATGAGAAGAGAGACCAATCACATCACTTGGCTAATAAATAACAGGTTCTGAGATAGCTGCTGAGAGCGACAAGTATGGGGGCTATGAGAGTCTGTAAACCCGCTCTGGAGCGACAATTATGGGGGCTATGAGAATCTGCAAACCTGCTCCAGATGGAGAGGCCTGGGCTTTTTGTTCACCTCAAGTGTTGCATGAACTCTGAGGTTGAGAGGCACTTGACAGAAATGGCCGTGCTTACAGGAGCAGGGCAGACAGTGGAGAGAAGCAGAGAATGCGACGATCTCTTCCATGGGAGCCAGGCAGAAACCAGGGAGCAGAAATGAGATTCACAGCAGGCGGGAAGGCGGGGAACTGCTGCCTTCAGGCAGATGCCCATGGTGACAGCCAGGCAGAAACCAGGGAGCAGAAACGAGATTCACAGCAGGCAGGAAGGCGGGGAACTGCTGCCTTCAGGCAGATGCCCATGGTGACAGCCAGGCAGATGCTGGCACAGGACCCACGCGCCCACGGCGCCCTGCTGGGGCTGGTGGAGCAGCCACCCAGAGATGCACAAACCCTGATCCCCAGAGACTGAGTGTGTTGGGCATGGGGGAAAGGACACCCAGCTGCAGGTGGACTCAGGCTCCAAGCAGGGCCCTTGGGTGGGAGTTACCCAGGGTTACCCTTGGGGTCCTCATGTGGGAAGGACGAGGCCATCACTGCTGTGACCATGGAGGGGCCTAGCCAGGACCAAGGGCCTTGGAGCCTCTGGCAGCTGAAAGAGTGAGAAGCAGGTATATCAATTTTATATGATGCCACTTAATCTTTTTAGAAAGAATATACCTACATGAAGTAAGGAGAGAAAGGAGAAGGGGAACTCATGACCAACTCTGTGACCTGGTGGGGCCCAGGCCTCTGGTCCTCTCCAGACCCCGTGGGATGCAGCTGTGGTCGGTACAGCATCCTCTCTTCACAGTGACCATTAGGTAGCAATTTAGGAATTCTTGACCCCAGTGTGAGGTCCACTTCAGTAACAATACCAAATTGTCACGAACACACAAGCTGTCACTTTAAGAGGAGCAACGGTAAACTTGCTGAACGAAAGTGAACTTATTAAGTCATTGACCTCTGGAAAAGAATGATCCGGAGAGGGGTGTGTGTGTGGCTGATCTTCCCGGGCTTTGTGGCAGATCACGGGGCCCTTAGGAGGGAGGGGTCAGAAACCTCAGAACAATGTCTCCATTTCATCGGAATGGCATGAAATGATTCCAGTTAGAAAAGAACGCTGAAGGTCAAATATGATGCAAGGCACTGGATGTATTTGCTAATTAGCATGTTAAAGAATGAGTCAGCTACGGGAGCAGGAGTGATCGCTAACCCGTAATAATAATCTGACTCTAATTGGAGAGCCGCCCTTTGGAAGCAGAGCTTAGAGAAGCAATTTGCAGAACACATCAAAAGAGAGATTTAATCACATGTCTTTCTATTTGAAAATGTTAGCCTGTCGCTGTGTTGACATACAATCATTAATCTACCAGGTGAAAGATAGGAAGCTCAGCCCGCCCACTAATTCTTTTCAAAACATATTTTCTCTGATTGCTTGTTTTCTAACCAGGACACTGACTGTGTATGTGGCAGTTATCTTCCTGCTGCTAAACCGTTAATTGTTTAAATGTCCTGAGGTGATAACACGGAAAATCAGACGACTGGGAGCGTCTCAACATAAATGATGCAGACAGATGGAAAACAGAGCCCACATTTTCAGCCTTGAAAGGCAGCTCAGTGCCAGGCGCAGGGCAGAGAGGAGATATGGTGTGACCCAAGCAGGCTCCCTAAGACCCCAGGGTCACAGGCCCCCCCACGCCCAAGCTCTCTGTCCCTGGCGCATCTCATGTCCACAGACTCAGCAACGAGCTGGGCAGGGAAGGGAAAGAGCAGATGGACAGAAACAGGCCCAGCCAGGGCAGAGTCCTGTCGCCGATCCCTGCCAGGCCCAACCTTTGTGGGATTCCCAGGAGACCCCCTACCAGAGGTGAAGTTTGGGGCAAACCCGTGTGTCACTCTGCCTGAATGCCCCACCCCATTGACCTACTCTGTGGAGTACTTGTTGCCCCAAAGCCAGGTTCTGCCCCAGTGTTGGGTGCAGATGGGCACCGCAGCTGAGGGGCACTGGGAAGGAGGAATGGAGATGCGGGAGGCGAGAATGCACCTGAGTCCATAAACAGTTTCCATTGTTCATGATCAGGGTTTCAGCCTGTGATGAGGTGGACAGGAGCGAGAGGCCACCTCCACCCATTGGTGACCCAGGAAAGCTGAGAAGAGGAGAATGAAGTGAAAGAGGAGGGTAAGAGTGTTGAAGGTGTTCAGGGGAGCAAGCCCCGGTCGATGTGTTCTTTCCACAGCTCACTCCCTCGCCCTGCCTCCTGCCGGGCCTAGGGATGTAGCTGGTTCAGCAGAGCTGCCTCCTTCCCCAGAGGAATGACACCAGCCAGGAACCGCACAGGGCTACGCAGAGACACCAGGAAACAGAGGAACGGCACCAGCCAGGAACCACACAGGGCTACGCAGAGACACCAGGAAAAATCAAACACTTAGGCAGGAAAAAGACATTAGGCAGATGGAAAGCATACAGTGCCCATAAATATCAAGAACACGAAAATGCTGCCAATTATCACTGCTCTTATTCAGCAACACATTGAAATCCCAAACCATTGCAATACAATTCAAAATTACAAACAAACAAACAAACAAAAAAAAAAACCCAAATAACTATAAGAATAAAAAAGTACAGCAAAAGATTGACTTTCTTGCAGATGCTATGATTCTATACATATAGAATTCGAGAGAATCTTTGAATAAATTACAGACATCAATACAAGAGTTCGGCAAGAGTGCAGAGAACAAGAGCTGTACTGGGAGTTCTTAGCATTTACTCTGGCAGTCACCAGATGGGGAATAGAACCCTAAATGTGGGCCATTCATGGCCACAGTAAAATCTATGACAGTCAGAGTTGAGCAAAATCCAAAAATATGTGCAAGACCTTCCTGGAGAGAACTACAAACATGTTATTGAAAGGCCCGAAGGAAGAATTTGAGGAGGAGAAGCACCAGTGTTTCGGACAGGAGTATTTGGATAACAGTAAATTCTCCAACATCTTAGCATTCAGTGAACATTCCATCAAGATTCATCAAAATATATGGGGACTTTAACAAACTGATTCCAGAGCACATATGGAAGAATATATGTGAATAAATATCTTCAGAAATGCTCACAGATGACATGGTGTAGTGCCTGTAATTGGTTTTAAAAGAGTCTGGGGGAGGAGGAGAGGCTGGTGGGGGAGCAGAGGCAATGAAATTGGGCCTGATTTGGTGATTTTTTGATGCTGAGGACAGACACATAGGAGCTCACTCTCCTATCCCATCTACTTTTGTTTTTTAACATTTTTAAAAATAACTTAACGTTTAAAAGGTTTGAGGAGAAAAAACAGTTAAAACTTTTTTTTGGAAAAAAAAAGCCAAATTGGAAGAGAAAGCAAATATATACAAAGGTATGGTAATGAAAACAGTGTGGCGTTAATAGGTTGGCAGAAAAGTGCAGAGCTCAGAGACAGACTCTCGTGGGAGTCTGTGACCCGATGGAGACAGCTTCCTAAGTTTGGGAACAAGGCACTCAGCACACAGCCCAGGGACTGGGCTTTCATCTGGGGAACAGGGTTCCTGCCTCATTCCACCCTCAAAAGGATACTTTAGATAAATAGAAGCCTAGGTGTGAACAGCCAAAAACTAGTAGAATGAAACAGACCAGATGGATTTTGGGTTAACCGGCACTGTGAGAAGAGGAAGGAGCAGAGTCGTCAATGCAGGTCAGTGCCCGTCACGTCAGTAACATGCTCAAAAGACAGATTTATGTCACGGATAAATGCAAATATACGGGTATGTGAAACTTAAAAAACAGTCATATAAAAATACAAACCAAATACCTCAAACTGGCCGCCCCGGGTGGGAGAGGCTGCAACTGTGTTGCTGTAAGGATCCTTCTACCTCGCCAGAGTCCTTTCCAAAGGACTAGAAACCAACGTGGCAAAATATTTTGTTAATTCTGGTTGTGGGAATATGACTGTTTTATAAAATTATTTGTACTTTTTTTTGTCTTTAAAATGTTTCAAGACTGGGCGCAGTGGCTCACACCTGTAATCCCAGCACTCTGGAAGGCTGAGGCAGGTGGATCACAAGGTCAGGAGATCGAGACCATCCTGGCTAACATGGTGAAACCCCATCTCTACTAAAAATACAAATAATTAGCCGGACGTGGTGGCACACACCTGTAGCCCCAGCTACTCAAGAGGCAGAGGTGGGAGAATCACCTGAACCCGGAAGGCGGAAGTTGCAGTGAGCCGAGATTGTGCCACTACGCTCCAGCCTGGTGACAGACTGAGACTCCATCTCAAAAAACAAACAAACAAACAAAAATCAAAACTGAAAAGGGCAAAGAAGGAAGAAATCCAAAGAAACAACAAAATCGCTCCAAAGTAAGAGTCCAGTTAAGCCCTTCTAGGGAAAAGAACTGAAGGGTGTAAGGGCTCAGGGGCAGTTTGCGGAGTGAGGGAAGAATGAGCTATGATGGCTCAGGAAATAAATGCAAGAGGAAAACCTTCCAGATGTAAACATGTTAGCTGACAGAGAAGCCCAAAGAAGTAGAATAAATTGACGGGAAACAGCCCTTGACGCGTGGAACAGATCTGAGGAAGTCACACAGGATGACACGAAAAATGGCAATGCGACTGCAGTGACCTCAGAGAAGATGGTAGCTGTGGAGACGACGGGAAATAGCATGGGTGCAGTTGGTGCTCTTAAAGAAGACTGAAGAAATAAAGAAAATCAAAGAGCTGAGAACACAAAGCGTCTTTAAAAAAATGAAACATTTGTACCTGTTTATCTTCTGTTCCAAGAAAAAAAGTGATAAAGATCGATATCGTAAAATACCTTGACTTGTAACCAGACCTCAAGGACAAAGGCATCTTTTGGTAGCTCGAGGAAAAGAAAATCTATAAAGGCAGGAGAGGTATGGGCCCTGAAAAAGCTTTCTCTTCAGAAAACTCCAACTTACTGTTTCAACTTCATAACGTTTACATTCTCTTTATTTATAATGCTCACATTGGTTGAGTCTTAGTTTCTCTGTTGAAGTGAAATTTTTTTTTTTTTTTGAGACGGAGTCTCGCTCTGTCACCCAGGCTGGAGTGCAATGGCTTGATCTCAGCTCACCGCAACCTCTGCCTCTCGGGTTCAAGCGATTCTCCTGCTTCAGCCTCCCGAGTAGCTGGGACTACAGGCATGGGCCACCATGCCCAGCTAATTTTGTATTTTTAGTAGAGACGGGGTTTCTCCATGTTGGTCAGGCTGGTCTCAAACTCCCGCCCTCAGGTGATCCGCCTGTCTTGGCCTCCCAAAGTGCTAGGATTACAGGTGTGAGCCACTGCGCCCAGCCTGTTGAAGTAAATTTTAACTTTGCCACCCTTTTTCTTGGCTTATTTCTTTGGTTGATTTTTGTCGTTATTGTTTGGATGGATCTTCCCTGAGTTTTTGATGACTTGAGAAAGATTGTCAGTTGCCTTTTTACTTAAAGGAAAATGTGGCTAGCTAGAAGAGGACCACATCCGCTTCCCTCGGGACCTCACAGAAGTGGACGTCTCGGGCTCCAGGGAGGCTGAGTCTGAGGCTGGCCCGGCTCTCCTCCACACCCCTGTGCTTATTCTTTCTCAAAGGACGTTGATACGTTTGGTTTTCTGCTAAGTTTCACTTTCAGTGTTCTGTTTCAAATGCAAGAATCTGTGTTTATGGTAGATAAACACGTACCATAGGTGGATCATTGGAACCGCAACCTGAACCCAGCATGTGCCATTTTAAAACGTCTTCAATATTTGATAAAATTAACTATGCTTGCGGCCCAATAAACAGTTCTTGAAATTTGAATGCATTTTTATTTAATAACTCACAAGATAAAACTTTCTATAAGCATCAGCCTCATGAATATATTTCCTATGGAAGAGTCTACAGAATTGTTTGGTTTTAATTAGAGAGTTATTTAAAAAACAACAATAGGGGCTGCTTTTGACTTTCAGCAGAACAAGATGATCTTTACCTGAAAACAAGATAAAAATTCCAAAGTCAGGGATATTGTGATTTACAACAGTGATTTGTGTAATCATTTGAGAGCACGCCTAACAGTCTCAGTTAACCCTTCCAGGCCCCCAGAGAAGCTCCCTCCTATACCTCAGCGCTGCTTCCCGGCTGTGGGAGGCTTCCTGGCAATGTCCCCAGGGATCGCTCTCACCAGCCACATGCAGATTCTGCAGGCTGGAAGCACAGCCCCATGCCAAAGGGGATGTCAGGAACACACGCGTGAACACACACTTGATCGGTGAGAAGAAGACCTGAAGGGCTGGGGGGAGCCGTTGTATTTAAAATGCAGGATGCCGCCTGGCTGGGTCATAGGTGAGGGAGGGCGCACCTGACGCCATGTGCTTCTTGGCTGCTGCTCGCGTGGCTTGTGTTGTGTGCATGAGTGTGAGCGCGAGTATGCATGTGTGTCTGAGAGTGTCAGTGAGAGTGTATGTGCATGTGTGGGACAGCTTGTGAATGCCTGTGTGTGCATGTGTGAAGCTCTCTGCATGCAACTGTATGTATGCAAATGTGTGTGTATATGTGTGTACTTGTAAGTATGCATGCATTGTGTGTATGCATGTGTGGGTGTGTTTCAGCATGTGTGTCAGTGTGTGTATGGGTGAATATGGGTGTGTGTGCATGTGTGTGTATGCGTGTGAGTGTGAATGCATGTGTGATTATGTGCATGTGTGAGTGTGAACATTGTGCGTGTGAGTGTGAACATTGTGCGTGTGTGTGAATGTGTATATGCGTGTGAGTGTGCATGCATGTGAGTGTGCATGTGTGTGAGTGTGCATGAGTATGTTTGTGTTTCTCTGTGTGGAAAGGGTAGGGTGTCAATGTGTTCCCCGCAAATCCATCCACAGCAGTGCTTTGCTCACAGGTGTTTAACTACACTTGTGCCCCCCGTCCCCACCTAGATTTTCATCTTAGGAGGCCAGGGCAGGGCCTTTTCTGTGTTAAACTCTCCCAGAGGCTGAGCTCAAAGAGCAAGGGCCTGGGTTAAACAGCGCTGTGCACAGCTGGGGACCTGCCCTGGCCTCTGGGCTCTGGGAAGAGTGGGGTTTTCAGGGTGGAGGCTCCAGCAGCTATGTCCTGATCCTGCCCGCGCACTGTGCAGGAAGTGGCTCACAGCAATGCTGTGGGTGTCCTCAGGACCTGCCTGTGGGCCATGAGGCTGGGTCCAGGCCGGGGTTTGTGTAGACGGTGTGCCTCAGGGTAGGGGCTGGGCTGTGCGGCCTCCATGTGTGGGTCCTCAGGGCTGCCCAGGAGGTGCTCATTGTTGGTGTCCTCATTGTTGGTGTCCTCCAAGCTGAGCCTTGGGAGGGGCCGCAGCTCAGGGAGAAAAATTGTTCTGAGATGACTAATTACAGAAAACTGGCTGGCACAATATCCAGTTCCTGAAGACCCTGTAGGAAAGCAAAATATTTTACTCCAAACTGTATTTTTTTGACCTATGTTGATACGGCCCTGCAAAGCCATCTTTTGTGGGGGAAATTTGCATCTGTAGAGAATCTCCATTAATGCAGCCAGGCCTTCCTTTCTAGGCCTTTCCTGGATCTAAGGGAGATTAAATGAGAGTCTGACACTTTCAAAGTCTGAAAAGAGACATTCACCTTCTATTCTCTCTGAAGACAGTGACCTGGGAGGCTTCATCTGCATAACAAGAACCGTGGTCTCCACAACCCCCTTATCTTAACCCAAGCCTTTCTTTCTAGTGACTTCAAGTCTTTAAAAAATGTTTAGCTCTTTCACCCAATTGTCAATCAGAAAATCTTTGAATCCACCTGTGACCTGTAAGCACCCCAAGTTGGAGATGTCCCACCTCTTTAGGCAGAAGCAATTTACACCTTCCACGTATTGATCAATGTCTTTGCCTGTAACGTCTGTCTCCCTAAAATGTATAAAACCGAGCGGTGACCCAACTCCCTGGGCACACTTTCTCAGGACCTCTTGAGACTGTTCCCCGGGCCATGGTCACTCATATTGGCTTAGAAGAAACTTCTTTACATATTTTACAGAGTTTGGGGGGTTTTTCGGTCAACAATAGTATCAATTTGTGAACAGAAAATAAATTCGGGGGCCGGAAGATCACTAAGCTAAAGGGAAAAGTCAAGTTGGGAATTGCTCAGAGCAAACCTGCCTCCCACCCTAGACAATGTCATCTTTCTGCTCACTGAGACAAAATCATATCTGATTGCTTCCTTTGCAAAGGCTCATCAGAAACTCAAAAGAATACAACCATTTGTCTCTTACGTTCCTGTGACCTGGAAGCCCCCTCCCTGCTTCGAGTTGTCCCCACCTTTCTGGATGGATCCAATGTACATCTTACATATATGAATCGATGTCTCCTGTCTCCCTAAAATGTACAAAACCAAGCTGTGCCCCGACCACCTTGTGCACATGTCGTCAGGACCTCCTGATGCTGGGTCACAGGCACGTGTCCTCAATCTTGGCAAAATAAACTTTCTAAATGGACTGAGACCTGTCTCAGACATTCGAGGTTTACAAATTGCAAGATACTATTTCCTAGAAGATGTTTAGTGAAATAAATATTGACCATTCCTGATATTTTTACTTTATCATTGTGAATCTACTTATTCTGAAATATAGTAAAACATTTTACTACATTTTCTAATCAATAAATTATCTGGTGCACATTGCCTTAGGACATCATATGAGGCTGAATGTGTTAGAAAAATCATAACTGAAAAATTTAAGAAATGAGGCCAGGTGCAGTGGCTCACACCTGTGTAATCCCAGCACTTTGGGAGGCCAAGGTGGGTGGATCATCTGAGGTCAGGAGTTTGAGATGAGCATGGTGAAACCCTGTCTCTACTAAAATTACAAAATAAAAATTAGTTGGGTGTGGTGGTGCATGCCTGTAATCTCAGCTACTCAGGAGGCTGGGGCAGGAGAATTGCTTGAACCCAGGAGGCAGAGGTTGCAGAATCGCACCATTGCACTACAGCCTGGGCGACAGAGTGAGACTCCATCACACACAGTGGAGTGATCTCGGGTCACTACAACCTCCACCTCCCAGCCGCCTGCCTTGGCATCCCAAAGTGCCGAGATTGCAGCCTCTGCCGGGCCGCCACACCGTCTGGGAGGTGAGGAGCACCTCTGCCCGGCCGCCCCGTCTGGGAAGTGAGGAGCCCCTCTGCCTGGCCGCTGTGCAATCTTCCAAGTGTGAAGTGACAGCCTTTCTGCAGGTGTACCCAACAGCTCCGAAGAGACAGCGACCATCGAGAACGGGCCATGATGACGATGGCAGTTTTGTCAAAAACAAAAGGGGGAAATGTGGGGAAAAGAAAGAGAGATCAGATTGTTGTTGTGTCTGTGTAGAAAGAAGTAGACATAGGAGACTCCATTTTGTTCTGTACTAAGAAAAATTCTTCTGCCTTGGGATGCTGTTGATCTATGACCTTACCCCCAACCCGGTGCTCTCTGAAACATGTGCTGTGTCCACTCAGAGTTAAATGGATTAAGGGCGGTGCAAGATGTGCTTTGTTAAACAGATGCTTGAAGGCAGCATGCTCGTTAAGAGTCATCACCACTCCCTAATCTCAAGTACCCAGGGACACAAACACTGCGAAAGACCGCAGGGTCCTCTGCCTAGGAAAACCAGAGACCTCTGTTCACTTGTTTGTCTGCTGACCTTCTCTCCACTATTATCCTATGACCCTGCCACATCCCCCTCTCCAAGAAACACCCAAGAATGATCAATAAATACTAAAAAATAAAAAATAAAAAAATGAGCCATGCACCCTGGTACTGCACCCCCCATCTGGGTGCCTCTGGGGAGGGTCCTCGTGGCACCCTGGTACTGCACCACCCACCTGGGTGTGTCTGGGGAGGGTCCTTGTGACACCCTCATACTGCACCCCCCACCTCGGTGTGTCTGGGGAGGGTCCTCCTGTTTCTTGTTAATGCACATCACACCCTTCATCCCAGGTAAGAAAAGGAAGATGGGGATGCTGAGAGGAGCCCTCTTCTTTTGTTTTATTATGTTTTCAACTCAAATATTCAAGGCCACTGAGACACAGGATCCATTTCCACGCCTAATCTTCCTTCACCAGTCTCTTGTTGAAGCATCTAAGAAGAGCAGGCCTCCCTTCATGCCATGGAGATCGGGAAATCACGGGCTCACAGGCAATTTGGGTGCACAGAAGAATCTGTCAGCCTCAAACACATCTCCTGGGGTCTTTTTAAAATTATGTTTGGCAGGCTTGATTTTGCCCCACCTTCCTGTGCAGCTTTACTGCAAGGCTATAAACATTTAAATGAAGCACCCAGGTGAGGGTGTTAATTGTTGAGATTCTAGTAGCTGATCTCCTGTCTGGGATTCTTTGAACTTGTTAATCATTGAAATGAGTCCATCTGGGGCTACTGAGAGGTCGCAGGCCTGACACCAACTCTCTGCTCTGACACAGGTTTGGGATGTGATGGAGAACGAGCTGCACAAGTCTCTGGGCTCCTGTAAAAGATTGGTTGCAGAAATGTCCTCAGAGTTGTTGGGAGGATTCAATAGAAGATGCATGCAAAGCACCTGGCTGAATGCCCAGAGCCCTGCAGACACTCAGGAATGAGTAACCATGCAGATTTTCTACGCCTTTAGACCAGATATTCTAAGAAACTTCCTGCTATAGATTAACTAGATCCTGATTGTGTTTTTCATTTCCAGGCTTAGAAGAAATAAAGGAAATATCCCAGGAGCAAAAACAAAACACACACATGCTCCTCTCAAGAGTCACTGGCATCCCAGCTGAAAAGTCAGCTCTACACCTATGGGACCTATGGGCCTGTTTCTGAGCTCTGTTTTGTCTCTTTGGTCTGAGTGTCTATCTGAGGCCAATACCACAGTACCAAATGCGATTGCTTTAGAGGAAGTCTTGAAATCAGATGAGGTAAGCCTTCCAGTTTTGTTCAGCCTGTTGGCTATTTTCTATGAATTTAAGAAGCAGCTGAAAATTGATGTTAATTACAAAAAAAAAAACCTACTGAGATTTTATTGGGATTGCTTTGAACAGATTAATTTAAGGAGAGAGACACCATCCAAATATCCAGTCGTCTGGTCCATGAACATGGTTTTCCTCTCTGTTTATTTAGGTCTTTTAAAACTTATCTTAGCAATATTTTCTAGTTTTCATTTTACAAGTCTTAAAAATATTTGTCAAATATTTATCAAAATGTTCCATATTTTGATGACTTTATAAATGATATTTAAATGTAAATTCCCAATTGTTCATTGCAAGTTTATAGAAACAGTTGTTCTGTGTATCCTCAGCCTTGGTAACTTCCCTCTTAGTTCTAGGCATTTTTTTGTGTCAATGAAAAGAGTCAAACTCTGTAAAGTATTTGAAGAGATTTATTATGAGCCAAAAGAGAGTGGCCAATGTCCTGTGACGCAGCCTCAGGAGATGCCGAGAACATGTGCCTCAGGTGGTCGGGGGCAGCTCGGTTTTCTACCTTTTAGGGAGACATGAGGTATCAATCAAACACGTGTAAGATGTACGTTGGTTTCATCTCGAAGGGTGGGACAACTCTAAGTGGGGGACTTCCAGGTCATTTAAGATTTAAAGATTTTCTGATTGGCAATTGGTTATTATCAATAGAAGGGAGTGTCTGGGTTATGATAGGGGATTGTAGAGACCAAGGTTTTATCATGCAAATGAAGCCTCCAGGTATAGACTGTAAATGTTTCTTCTCAGACTTAAGAGATCTGTGTTGATATTAATGCTAGTCAGCTTTTCCTGAATTCCAAATGGGAGAGGGAATAACGAGGCTCGTCGACCCCATTCCCATCATGGGCTGAGCTATTTTTTCAGGTTAACTCTGGAATGCCCTTGGCCAAGGGGAGGAGTCTGTTTAGATTGTTGGGGGGCTTAGAATTTATTTTTGGTTTACATGTTATGCAGAATTTTCTACAGATGATGATGCCCTCTGTGAGTAATGATAATCTCACTCTTTTCTTTCCAAACATGATGTGTTTTTTGCTTGTCTGAGTAAGCCGACTAGGATTCCTGGCACCATCGTGAACGGCTCTGGTGGGCACAGGCAGCCCTCTGCTGCTTCTGATCTTAGGTGGGAAACTGTCATATTTCACCACTAATAAAATTTTAAAAGACAATTCTGGCAAAGATCAGAAATGGCAAAGACAGTGGAGGGTGACAGAGGGGTTTGCCTGCAACAGTTCATGTTTTTTATTTTGTTAAAAGAGAGTTACAATTATTACAGAATATTATCGGGTAGAAAACAAATGGCATTTGTCTTACATTATTCTTTCTACTTTGCTTTTTGTTTTTAAAAAATATACCAGAGAAATGAAAATAAAGTCAGCCTCCATAAAATTATGAAGAAGAAAGGCAGTATCATAATGATTATGCAGGAACCAAGGACTGGCCTGGAAGATGGGCCCCCAAGCTCACAGGGACACCAGCAGGCACTGCTTCTAGACATGGAGCCTCAGTTCCAGAATGTCCCGTGACATGACCAGGAGTAGGGAACCAGCCCTCCCGACCTCCATGTCTTATTTGCCAGGCAGGGGTAACTGCAGGCTGGCCCTGACCAGGATGACCACTGGCTCCCACTGTGGATGCATTTCGTGCGTGGCCTGCATTGGACATCGGCTCACCCATGTGCTGGGGTGTCCAGGGTCCAGGGGAAGCTCCAGGACACATTTGAGGATCAGGAGAGCAACCTGCATAGTGCAGGACTCTTGTCAGGGAGACCACGACCCGGGAGCCTTTCCTAGAAGACACAGAGTCCCCAAAAATACCTGTGACAAGGGTCTCATCACAGCACTGTCTGAGAGTGCTTGGAGAGAGGGAACCTGCCTGCAGCTGTTCCCAGAGCAGTGGGGCGGGGGACACTCCCCTACTGAAGAAGGCATTTCCTTTTGGCGCCTCCAGTTCCCCCTGCCAGGACGTCAGCACCCAGGCTCTGATGTGGGCTGCTGGGGGCCACGGCACTGCAATGCTGCCCTGGATTGAATGGGGCGGGGGCTATAGATGTATAATACAAGTTGGATTTTAGAGACTTGGTATGTGGCATAGAGTCTCAAATGTCCAAAGATGTGTCGCATTGATTTCAGGGTGAGTGGATAGTTGTTCTGATATACTGAGTTCAGTAAAATACATCGGCAGCAGGAATTTTACCGGTTACTGTTTCGTTTTTGTAAATATGGCTACCACAAAATATAAGGGCACGCAGGTTCACGCCCTCACCCAGCACTGGCCTCCCCTTCCCAGACAATCAGCCACATCTTCGCCTGCCAGCATGGCCCCTTGTTCTCAGGGCTCCTGCCCTCATGCTCCTGTGTCCTCCAGTCCCCCTGCCCTCTAGGAAGCCTCGTGGCTGATGGGGCTTTGCTCAACCTGGTCTCGCGCTCACCTCCACCTTTGGCTCTAAGGCTTGTCATCCCTAAATGAGTGCCACCGTCACGGAAGCTTCAGGTCCACAGAGCTGGATGCCCCGGCCAGGCCTGCCAGCCTCATTCCTCGTCCAGAGCACAGTAGCTCCTGCAGGTTCCCCTCCTATTTGACCAAAATAACCCTCCCGATCCCCTAAATTTAAAACTTCAGTGTGGACCCTGCCTGGGGTTCCAGGACCCCAGCCCCTCTGCTTCGCTCTCCACAGCGTTTATCACTCGACCCGTACCAGGCTCCTTACCCGTTTCTCCTATTTCTCTCTCCCTTTAGGAGGGCAAGACTATTGTTCACTGCTATTTCCCCACAGCTAGAACGGTGCTTAGAGGTACGCAGGTGTGCACACCCAGGTGCACACACACAGGAATGCACACAGATACACACTCACAAATACACACACATCTTGTATGTGTGAAAATAAGTAAATCAAACATCTTCATATTGTTTCAGTACTTTAATATTTTAGCTCTTTAAAAGATTCCACATTTACATGGTAGTGTTTCCTATTCAGCATTTTTCCCTTGATCACTCTGTCCTATTCGAAAATATTCTAAAACAATTTCTGAAGCCAAACCATCGAACTCTTCAAGACTAGGTCTCTAAGCAAATATGCCAAACAGACCCGATTCAAAGTCAGGGAAACCACAAGGCTGTCAGCCCAGCATGTTCCGTTGAAAGGCGAGTCTGAAGCAACGTCCCAGACCCCTGAGGTGGGCTCCATCCCAGCAGCTCCCCTGGGTCTGTGCAGGGCCCCCCACGCCTCCGAGTCGGAGCCAGCTCTCAACTGGCCAAAAAGAAGATGTGATGACTGTGAGAGCCTCTCCAGGTCCTTCGGGTCGGACCTGTCACCTAATTGGGTGAATTACGGCTGAATAGGTGAGGACTGTTTAACTGCCTTCAGGCATCTTTCAGATTGTGTGGTTAGCTAAGCCAGCTGCTGCAAGAAATGGAAACAAACTCATTCCAGGGTTGCCTCTGGAAGACGCAGGTGCCCACGGCCCTCCAGTCCCCCTGAATCCTCATCTTAAAATAAAATAGGTTGGCCCTTTTTCATTACTAAACTTATTCAAATACAGGTGTCCAGCTTGCACGGAATTACCCTCCATTTTCCATTTTTATGCACTAAATGCATACGCATATTTCTAGACTATTAGTTTCTTCATTTTTTTCTTTACAAAAGAGGACTCTTTCTGCTTTTATTAATTTTGACGATTTTCTCTAATATACTGTAAGATTTAATGCATGTTATTTTCTAATTGCTGTATTTCATCCTGGATTAAAGTAACCTCAAAAAATAATCATCAAGAAGAGATGGAAAGAAAAGAGGGGAATGAGAAAAAAATGAACTTTACCTTTCAACAAATTTATAAAAAGATGTGTTTTTTATTCTTTACAAAAACTAAATTATTGTTCATAGGCTGAAGGCTGTTGAATTATGAGAAAGCGTCATTTGAAGAGATGGATGCCTGTGACCCCGCCAGGCTCTGCAGACCTGGAGGCGGCTCCAGATCTGGGGTGTGCGGCGCATTGTGTGTCCAACAGGTGATTAACTCTGCTGGTGACATGTGTTTTTAGATATGTGTGTCTTTTCTATGAGAGTAAATCATAAAGCCCACAGGATGTGCAAGCAGCCATTCTCGCTGGCCAGGCGGTGTTAGCGCTTGCAACGCACATAGATTATATCCAGGAGGATGCAGTCAATACTTTCTGGGTCCTTTTTAGGTTTTGGGGGCTTTGCAACACGCTTTACACTGCCCCTCATAAACCCGTCCTAACTGTGCGTTCCAGAAAATGTGCAGTTTCTTAAGTTTAGGAATTTTTTTTACGGCTTTTATTTTGAATGCTTGGATTCTTAACTTCTGGTCCCAGTGCAGGTTCATAAACAGACATGGGGACAGAGGTCTGCCTGGCCAGAGCTTAGTTCTGAGGGACACGCTTCGGCCATCCGGAGAGAGGGCCTGCTCCCCAGGCTGAGGAGACAACGGCCACGCCGGGGAGCACCACTCCCAGTCAGGGCCTAAAGCGTGGAGCCTGGGAAGAGGGGGCTTGCTCCTCCGCCTGCTCCTGGCAGTACACCCCAGGTCCCCCCGTTACCTAGGGAATGGCGCTGAGCAGGGCAGGTCCCAGGGCGCCATGGAGAGAAGGATGTCAGCCGCAAAGCCCTTGGGCGACCAGGCCCAGAGCCGCCCACTTGGGACAAGCCGCCAGGAGCAAGGGCACAGCTTTCTTCTGGGTCTCGCAGGCCCCTGGCTCTGCACAAATGGTGGGAGGGACCGATCCTACCCTGGAACCGTAGAACCTCGTCCAGCTCTGAGTCAGGAGCCATGGGGGCCATGGCCTTCCGGGCCTGCTGACCTGAGTAAGGGTCCCAGCACCGCTTCCAAGGCCGGGACAAACGCCTGCTCCTAGTGGGTCCCGCGTTGTTCCCGCTTGTTATCTAAGAGATGCGGTCAGCCCTTCGGAAGCCCTCCGACCCCGCCCAACCCCCACACTTCTCCGGCCGCTGCTCCTCTTCCCCCATTCAAGCCAGTCTGGCCTCCGGCTCTGTTCAGAGCAAGCCCAGCCTCCTTGTCATGGACTGGAAGGACCCCTGGCTCCAGGCTCCCGTCCTGCTCACACCCAGGAGTGTGGGCCACGCACTCCCGGAACCTAACTGTGGGTGAATGCTGGCCCTGGCTCCAGGCTCCCGTCCTGCTCACACCCAGGAGTGTGGGCTGTGCACTCCGGGAACCTAACTGGGGCTGGAGCTCGTCCTTGTCTCCTCTGACATCAGCTGGACGCACCATTTCTCTCCAAACCACAAACTCCCCTGAGCTGCCCTTTCTCTGGGAATGCATAGCTGTCGGGATCCCCACGGGCTATCACCTGCCAGGTTGAGGTCTGGCAGGAGTCTTCCTACCTCATGACAAAGCTTCAACCCTCTCCAGCCAGGAGACACTTAACTCTGCTCATTGCCCCTTTGAAGCTTGTGATATGAACAGACCCACATCCAGTACCATCTCTGCATCAAAAAGCTTTGGTTACGAGTGAGGGAAATCAGCTAAAACGCACTTATGCAAAAAAGGGACAAAATGAACTCTCATTAACTGGACAGTTCAAAAAGGGGAGGCTTCAGGCATGGCTCGATCCAGAGGTCAAACTCCTGCTGGTTGCTCTTGGTCTCCGTCTTACTCTCAGTTGGTGTTCAGGGCCATGCATGTTGCCTCCACATTTTGGCAAACATGTACTCTGGGCCCTGGGGGCTGAAGTCATCCACAGCTCTAGTGACTGCACACCTCAGCGACCTCTGCTTCCTCTGAGGTGAGCCTGGCAGGAGCACGTCCACAGGCAGTCACCAGAAATGAAGCCACTCAGGACTGTCACAGAGCCACAAGTGTCCAAGCCAAAAAGTCAAAGTGTAAAAAGGAAGAGGGAGCCCCCTCCACCCCTGCCTGAGGTGTTTAAACATGGCGAACACGGATAACTAAATGCCATTCAATCAAACCTTACTTTCTATTCCTTCTCTGTCATCGAGGGGCACAGCTCTGAGGGTAGAACATTTAGCATCTCATTAACAATGGCCGTGTGCTGCTGAATATCCGAGTGGGAAGCCAGAGTTTGCAGAGAAGCTTCGTGTGTGCTCCAGCCCATCGAGTGCCTGTTTACGGAGCAGGTGACAGGATTGAGGCTTCACCCGCTGCCTCCACATGTACAGCCATCGTGCAGGGCTCCTGCCGCGTTCAAAGGCATTACGTTATCTCTCAAGGGAAAGTCATACTTTTAAAATACAAAATTCTCTTTTATGCAGCAAAATTGCTGTCATACATATTTCAATGGAAAATTAAGTGTTGTAATAAAATATAACAAGGATGATAAAGGCATGTAGTATTTTATGCCATCGAATGCCATTATACCATCCCATACAATAAATTGGTACTGCTCTAAGTAACCTTCAAAACAATTTAGTGCTAAGTAAATAACTACACTTAGCTGTAAGTGGCAATACGGTATGAATTATAATTGTCAAATGACATCAATTGATCAGTCATAAGTCAATGACAGCATATAATTTTTCAGCAATACTTTTTCAACTAGGGAGTAGTCTCTATAAAAAGGACTTGTAATTAATTTCTAAGGAGAGTAAATATTCTTTGGAAAGACTGAGATGTGAGAAAATTACACCCTAACATAATTTAAGGAACAAAAGTTTTGCAGGATGCGTGACAACTATTTTATAGTTTAAGAGGATGGCTTAGCTCATTGCAAAAGAAGAAGAGGGAACAAAGAGTTGGGGGAAGAACCAGCCCCTCTGTCCCCTGTCCTTCTATCTTGTCTGTGTGTCTGTATATCTGTCTCTCTGTGTCTCCATCCCTCTGTCCACTTTGTCCTTTATTTTCTCCAAACACCTCCTGTCTTCACAGAGCCATCTACACTCTGTGGCCCATATCTCTCCCTCGAAGCTCCACAGAGGGCCCCATCCCATCCCTGCTGCTGGAGGTCTATTTGGGCCTCCAAATAGTCAAAGGCTGCTCATGTCTCCAAGTGGGCTCAGGTTGTGTTTTCAGGGGCACCTGTTTCTTAAGCTGTATCTAAATATGCTGGTTTCCCAAGGATACATCTCTCGGCTCCACTGAAGCCACAATTCTCCTTGGGAGAAATTATGTATCAGTAACTTCAGCTTCCTTGCACATAGCAATGAAACATACATTAGCATTCCCTTTATTGTAAATAATTTTCTCAGCTAAGGAAACACACTTTATGCTTATTGGAAATTGTCAACTTCATGGCTCACAGACCCCCAGATTTTAATGTGACATGCATCAAAACAGACACACACTGTCATCATCATCATCCTTATATTTAAAAAGATCATTTATGTTTAAATGTGGTTCTTCCCTCCAATTCCAGATCTTAGTTAACCACGCCCCCAGTTTTGGAGCCACCCAGGCGAGAATCCCAGTGACCACCTTTCCATTCTCCTTGTCTCCTGGTCACGAGAGCCCTGGATGCTGCCTGCTTTGCCCTTTCCTGCTCCTGCCAGTGGTGGGTACCCCCTTGCGACTGCAGCAGTGCCCATCTGTGACGCTGCAAGGCGTCTGGGGCAGTGCTGTCCACACTGAGGGTCTCCCTCCATCAGTCCTACACCTTGGCAGCAGTCATTTTGTTCAAATACAAGAGCGACCATCGCAGTCCTCGGCGACCTCTCTCACCTCAAGTCAATACCAAACTCCCTAAAATGTCAAAATCTGACCCTCCCTACTGCCCCAGGCCCCTGAGTGTCAGGCACTGCCCCCGACCAGTCTGTAAATGACTAGCCCCTCATTAACCCATGGAGGAAGCACAAGTTCCCAGCAAATCCCCATCACACCCTTGCGTCCAAAAGAGACACGGCAGAGAATTGCCACCCGATGTTCGGTATCTATCATTGGCTACCCTTGAGTCCAGAAGAGACACGGTGGAGAATCACCACTGGATGTTCAGTATGTCATTGGCTGCCAAAATATAATGGAGCTTAGAACTCAGGCTGCAGGCTCTGTATTTCAGTCTTTTTTTTTTTTAATTTTATTATGATTATACTTTAAGTTTTAGGGTACATGTGCACGACGTGCAGGTTTGTTACATATGTATACATGTGCCATGCTGGCATGCTGCACCCATTAACTCGTCATTTAGCATTAGGTATATCTCCTAATGCTATCCCTCCCCGCTCCCCCAACCCCACAACAGGCCCCGGTGTGTGATGTTCCCCTTCCTGTGTCCATGTGTTCTCGTCGTTCATTCTTTGTTCCAGATTCATATTCATAACACAGTTTCTTGAAGCTTATTCATTGTTCTTCTCTATGTTATGATTCCAATAATAGTGACTACCTGCAAATTTCTGTTAAATTATAGGCTTGTTAAGATGTAATTCACAGACCACGATCGTCATCACTTTCAAGTATACACTTCAACATTTTTAGTGTATTCATAGAGATGTCCAACCATCACTGCTATATAATTTTACAACATTTAAATCATCCTAAAATGAACCTTGGACTCAACAGCAGTCATTCCCCTTCCTCCCTCTCCCCCAAGCCCTGGCGACCACAAATCTACTTTCTGCCTCTGTGGATTTGCTGATTATAGACATTTCATGCAAATGGAATCTTAACATTTCATGTAAATAGAATCTTTGGTTTATTTCATTTAAAGTGATGTTTTGATGATGCAACTATTTTACAACATTTTTTCATTTCTTTTTATTGCTGATAATAATCTGTTGTATGAATATACCACATTTTGGTTCTCCATTTATCAGTTGTTGAACATTTGATGTGTTTCCTTTTTTTGGTATTATGATCAATACCAAATGTTGCTATGAACATTTGTGTACTAGCTTTTGTGTGTGAATATTACCACAGTTCTCCTAAGTATACATTCAGGAATGAAATAGCTGAATTATATGGTAACTCTGTTGCAGTTTTGAGGATCTGCCAAACTGTTTTCCAAAGTGGCTGCATTTTCCAATTCCATTAACAATGATTGAAGCTTCTGATATTTTCACCCCTCTCTCTCTCTCTCTCTCTCTCTCTCGTGTCAATGTAGTTGTTGTGAAGTGATGTTTTATTGTGGTTTAATTTGCATTTTCCTAATTAATAATTTTGAGCATTTTCAAAGGCTTATGGGTCATCTGTATATCTTTTTAGGAGAACTATCTAGTTTTTGTTCATTTAATTTGCTTGTATTTCTTTTTATCACTGGTTATTAGCATTCTTTATATATTTGTATAACAGTGCTTTATCAGATTTGTGATTTGCAAATATTTTCTCCCATTCTGTGTGTTGTCTTTACACATACTTGAGGGTGTCTTTTGAAACTGCAAGATAATCTTTAAATTTATTTTGAATATTTACAAAATTGTGATAAAGTCCAAATTATCTGATGTGTCTTTTGTTGCTTGTGCTTTTGGTGTCAGTTCTAATAAATCATCGCCAAATCCAAGGTCACACAGAATGTACTCCTATGTTTTCTGCTAAAAGTTTTATAGTTTTAACCTTACTTTTAGACCTATGATTCATTTTGAATTAAAATTGTATATGGTGTGAAGTAGAAATCAAATTACATTCTTTTGCAGGTGGATATCCAGTTGTCCTAGTACCATTTGTTGTAAAGACCATTCTTTCCTCCTTGAATTCCATTGGCACACTTGTCAAAAATCAATTGGCCATAAATATAAGGGCTTATTTCTAGACTTTCAGTTCAATTTCATTGATGTATGTATCTATCTTTATGCCTCTGTCATACTGTTTTTACTACTGTAGCTTGGCTGTGCCACTTTGAAATCATGAAGCACGAATCCAACAACTTTGTTTAAAATTTTCTTTAAGATTGTTTTTGGTGTTTGTAGCTCCTTATATTTCCATATGAATTTTAGGATTAACTAGTCAATTTCTAGAAGTAAAGCAGCTGAGTTGAAATTTTTGAAAGGGATTTTGTTGAATCTGCAGATCAATTTGACCTTAACAGTGTTAAGTTTTCCAATCCATAAGCATAAAATATCATTCTATGTATCTAATTTTTTAAACAGTGTTTTGTAGTTTACAGTAACAAGTCATAACTTTTTTGTTATATTTCTTCCTATTTGATTCATCGATGCTATTGTAAATGAAATTGTTTTAATTTGATTTTTGAAATTTTTATTGCCATCATATAGGTCTACAGTTGATTTTTGTATATTGTTCATGTACCCAGCAACATTTCTGAAGTCATTTATTCATTAAAATTGTGTGTGTGTTTCTAGAGATTTCCATATACAAGTTCATGTCATCCATAATAGAGTTTGACTTCTTTTTTTTTTTAATTATACTTTAAGTTTGAGGGTACATGTGCACAATGTGCAGGTTTGTTACATATGTATACATGTGCCATGTTGGTGTGCTGCACCCATTAACTCGTCGTTTAGCATTAGGTATATCTCCTAATGCTATAAAGACACATGCACACGTATGTTTATTGTGGCACTATTCACAATAGCAAAGACTTGGAACCAACCCAAACATCCAACAATGATAGACTGGATTAAGAAAATGCGGCACATATACACCATGGAATACTATGCAGCCATAAAAAATGATGAGTTCATGTCCTTTGCAAGGACATGGATGAAGCTGGAAACCATCATTCTCAGCAAACTATCGCAGGAGTTTGACTTCTTTCTTCCAACCCAGATGACTTGCATTTCATTGCCTTGCCTGATTGCCTCACAGGAACATCGATGACAATGTTCAATAGAAGTTGAGAGTGTGAACGTCCTTGTACTGTTCCTGATCTTAAGAGGAAAGCATTTGGTCTTTCAAATTTAAGTGTGCTGTGGGCTTTTCTTAGAAGGATTTTATCAGATTGAGGAAGTTTCCTTCTATGTTTAGCTCATTCATCTTTTATCCTTAAAAAGATGTTGGATTTTGTCAAATGAATTTTTTGCATCTTTTGAGATTATTATGGTTTTTAAAATTCTTTTAATACAGTGTATTGCTTTGTTTCCTTATGTTAAATCAACTGTGCATTCCTGAAGTTAATCCCAGTCATTCATGGTGTATAATTCCTTCTTATATATTGCTGGATTCAATTTGCTAATATTTTTGCCAATATTTGTATCTCTATTCATAAGGGATATCGATTATTATCTTGTGAGTTCTCTGTGCAGTTTTGGTACCAGGGTAATCCTGGGACTATGGAATGAATGAGTTGAGACTATTCTCTCTTCTTCTGTTTTGGTTTTGGCCTTTTGACATGTTTTGAGTGACTGGTATTAATTCTTCTTTAAATATTTAGTAGAATTCATGCATGAAGCTATCTGGGGCTGGCCTTTTCTTTGTGGAAAGTTTATTGATTACTAATCCAATCTCTTTACTGTTATTGCTCTATTTAGATTTTCTATTTCTTTTGGAGATTTTCCAGAAATTTGTCAACTTCTTTTAGTTTATCTAATTTTTAGCATACAATTATTTATTATATTTGCTTATAATCCTTCTCATTTCCTAAGGTCAGTAGTAATGCCCTTTATTTCATTGCTGATTTTAGTAATTTTAATCTTTATTATTCCTTGGTCAGCCTATCTAAAGGTTTGTTAAATTTGCTGAGGTTTTCAAAAACTAACTTTTGGTTTCAAGAATTGTTGCTACTGTTGTTTAATTCTCTATTTAATTTACCCCCCATCGTATCTTTATTTCCTTCCTTGTGTCTGCTGCACATGAGTTGTGTTTATTCTTCTCATTTCTTAAGATTGAAGATTACGTTATTGACTTGAAATATTTCTTTTTAAATACAGGCATTTTTACCTTTAAATTTTCTCCTAAGTACTATTTCCCATAAATTTTAGTATCTTGTGTTTGCCTTTTAATTAGTATTCAGTTATTTTATAATTTTATTAAATTGTGTTCTTGAATTCTTTGGTTATTTGCATTGTTTCACCTGTTTTTGAATTTCCCAAGTTCCTTCCTGGTATTGATTCCTCCTATCATTCCGTTTTGTTCAGGGAGCATAACTTTCGCATCTCAGTCCTTCTCCATTTCCTGAGGCTTCTTCAGGCTCTGGTGTGTGGTCCACCCTGGAGAATGTCTCGCTCTCCTCTCGAGAGGAACGTGGCTGCGGCTCTGCGTGGACCGTTTGGCAGAGGCTCATATGCTGGATCCACTGGTTGGTTCACGGGGTTCATTCCTGTCTGTTGATCTTCTACCTAGTGGCTCCATCACTCATTCAAGGTAGGACCAGTGAAGTCACCAACGTTCACTGTCAGATTGTCTATTTCTCCCTTTAGTTCTGTCGTTTTTTACGTTGTGTATTTTGGGGCTCTGGTGTTAGGCGATGTGTGTCCATATATTTCTCCCTTTAATTCTGTCCGTTTTTACTTTGCATATTTTGGGCTCTGGTGTTGGGTGATATGTGTCCATATTTGTTACGTCTTGGGAGAGATTGACCTTTTTGTTTTTATAAAATGTCCTTTTGGTGTCTCAAACAACGACTTTTGGCTTAAAGTCTATTTTGTCTGCATTCAGCCACCCGATGTCCCTTTTGATTATTGTTTACACGGTTCGTCTTTTTCCACCTTTCCCCGTTGGACTCTGACGCGTCTCTGCTGTGGGAAGCGCATCGCCGCCCCGGCGTCTCTCTCCGCTGCGGGGAGCCCATCGCGGCCCCGGCGTCTCTCTCCGCTGCGGGGAGCGCATCGCGGCCCCGGCGTCTCTCTCCGCTGCGGGGAGCCCATCGCCGCCCCGGCGTCTCTCTCCGCTGCGGGGAGCCCATCGCCGCCCCGGCGTCTCTCTCCGCTGCGGGGAGCCCATCGCGGCCCCGGCGTCTCTCTCCGCTGCGGGGAGCCCATCGCGGCCCCGGCGTCTCTCTCCGCTGCGGGGAGCCCATCGCGGCCCCGGCGTCTCTCTCCGCTGCGGGGAGCCCATCGCCGCCCCGGCGTCTCTCTCCGCTGCGGGGAGCCCATCGCCGCCCCGGCGTCTCTCTCCGCTGCGGGGAGCCCATCGCCGCCCCGGCGTCTCTCTCCGCTGCGGGGAGCCCATCGCCGCCCCGGCGTCTCTCTCCGCTGCGGGGAGCCCATCGCGGCCCCGGCGTCTCTCTCCGCTGCGGGGAGCCCATCGCCGCCCCGGCGTCTCTCTCCGCTGCGGGGAGCCCATCGCCGCCCCGGCGTCTGTCTCCGCTGCGGGGAGCCCATCGCCGCCCCGGCGTCTGTCTCCGCTGCGGGGAGCCCATCGCCGCCCCGGCGTCTGTCTCCGCTGCGGGGAGCCCATCGCCGCCCCGGCGTCTGTCTCCGCTGCGGGGAGCCCATCGCCGCCCCGGCGTCTGTCTCCGCTGCGGGGAGCCCATCGCCGCCCCGGCGTCTGTCTCCGCTGCGGGGAGCCCATCGCCGCCCCGGCGTCTGTCTCCGCTGCGGGGAGCCCATCGCCGCCCCGGCGTCTGTCTCCGCTGCGGGGAGCCCATCGCCGCCCCGGCGTCTGTCTCCGCTGCGGGGAGCCCATCGCGGCTCTGGCGTCTCTCTCCGCTGCGGGGAGCCCATCGCCGCCCCGGCGTCTCTCTCCGCTGCGGGGAGCCCATCGCGGCTCTGGCGTCTCTCTCCGCTGCGGGGAGCCCATCGCCGCCCCGGCGTCTCTCTCCGCTGTGGGAAGCGCATCGCCGCCCCGGCATCTCTCTCCGCTGCGGGAAGCCCATCTCTGGGCTGCGCTGCTTCCTGTTCTGCCGCCCTTTGCTTTCTGGCCGCGATTCCACTGAATGTGATCACTGAAAAGGTGGGATTTGCGTCCACTGTTTTACCAGTTGTTTTCTCTATGGCTTGTATCTGTTTTGTTTCTTTACTCTTCTTTTACTGCCTACTTTTATGTTAAACAGATATTTCATTTATACAATTTTAATTATTTTGATGTTTCTTTTACTCCTTTTTAATTTACTTGCTCAGTGGTTGTTCTGGAGAATGTAATTAAAATCGTATCTTAAAGCAAACTACTGCAAATTAATACCAAATTAATCTCCATAGTATGCAATAATGCGGTTATTAAACAAAATTGGTTAACAACTTTGGACCAGCCTTTGGATAGTGTCCTGGTCTAGGCCCAGCAGAACCGACCAAGCCAGAATGGAGTCCCCTGTGCTAAGGCCCACATCACCAAACTGACGTTGGAAATGGACAGTTTTCAAAAAATCTCAGGCCATTGAAATCAACCTGAGTCCACCTAACACAGAAGCCCTCTATTTTTTAACCCTTGAAGGAAAGTAGCCTGGAAACGACCCACCTGCCTTCTGTGTTTCATTCCTGCTCTCCAGAGGCTCTTCTATCTGCAGAGCCTCAGTTCACGGGACACTATCGCTCAGCTCGCGGGACACCCCCGCTCAGTTCACGGGACAACCCCGCTCAGTTCATGGGACACCCCCACTCAGTTCACGAAACACCATTGCTCAGTTCACGGGACACCCCCTCTCAGTTCATGGGACACCCCCGCTCAGTTCGCAGGACACCCCCGCTCAGTTCATGGGACACCCCCACTCAGTTCACGAAACACCATTGCTCAGTTCACGGGACACCCCCACTGAGTTCACGGGACACCCCCGCTAAGTTCGCAGGACACCCCCGCTCAGTTCATGGGACACCCCCACTCAGTTCACGGGACACCATCGCTCAGTTCATGGGACACCCCCGCTCAGTTCACGGGACACCATCGCTCAGTTCACGGGACACCCCCGCTCAGTTCATGGGACACCCCCACTCAGTTCACGGGACACCCCCGCTCAGTTCATGGGACACCCCCGCTCAGTTCGCAGGACACCCCCGCTCAGTTCATGGGACACCCCCACTCAGTTCACGAAACACCATTGCTCAGTTCACGGGACACCCCCACTGAGTTCATGGGACACCCCCACTCAGTTCACGGGACACCATCGCTCAGTTCACGGGACACCATCGCTCAGTTCACGGGACACCCCCACTCTGTTCACGGGACACCCCACCCAGTTCACGGGACACCATCGCTCAGTTCACGGGACAACCCCACTCAGTTCATGGGACACCCCCACTCAGTTCACGGGACACCATCGCTCAGTTCACGGGACACCCCCACTCAGTTCACAGGACACCCCCACTCAGTTCACGGGACACCCCCACTCAGTTCACGGGACACCATCACTCAGTTCACGGGACACCCCCACTCAGTTCACAGGACACCCCACCCAGTTCACAGGACAATCCTGCTCAGTTTGCAGGACACCCCCACTCAGTTCACGGGACACCCCACCCAGTTCACAGGACACCCCCACTCAGTTCACGGGACACCCCCACTCAGTTCACGGGACACCATCGCTCAGTTCATGGGACACCCCCACTCAGTTCACAGGACACCCCACCCAGTTCACAGGACAACCCTGCTCAGTTTGCAGGACACCCCCACTCAGTTCACGAAACACCATTGCTCAGTTAACAGGACACCATCGCTCAGTTCATGGGACACCATCGCTCAGTTGACTGCACCCATCCTGCTTCCAAGGCCAGGTGTTCCCAAGTCTAGAATCACAAATAGAAGCCAATTCAGTCTTTAAACTAGATTTGTTGTAATTTTGCCTCTGACACCATAACAGCCTGGGGACTTGTCCACAAGGCTGGACTGAGGGCCCCTGTGGGGTCTGTGTGGAGGTGACGCTGGGTGTGGAGAGTTCCGGTGACTGTCTCCCTGATTTTGCATATTGAAGGGGTGCAAAAAGGTTGCAGCTATTTCTGACACCAAGCCAGTCCTGTGTTAGCGACCCCTTGACATGGAGTGTGTGTCAGGAAAGAAGATCCCAAGGGAAGCCCAGCTCCTGTTAGGGATGAACTCAGGTTTCCACAGCTGGGCTTGGGGGGCCACAGGTGACCCCGCACCCCCCCGTGCTGCATCCTGCAGGAAGGTCCAGGCTCGCTGCATCCCCACTCCCCTTTGCTGATGGCTAAGGAGGCTCAGAGTGAAGCCTCAGCCAGATGTCTAT
This sequence comes from Homo sapiens, assembly GCF_000001405.40. Classification (NCBI taxonomy): domain Eukaryota; kingdom Metazoa; phylum Chordata; class Mammalia; order Primates; family Hominidae; genus Homo; species Homo sapiens. Next base: position 88,016 of record NT_187647.1, on the reverse strand, counting down.
GGAGGCCCCTCCCCAACTTCTGGCGGCTCTGAGGGGCCCCTGCTTCTAGGAGGAACAAGGTTGCCAGATGAGGGAGACCTTGGCGAGTGTGTCTGATGAGCACATTCATTTGGCCAGGCTGCCTTCTCCTTTCCAGATGTTCATTTCAGACTCCCCGGAATTGCACATTTATCAGCCCTTACCTTGTGAAGGGCGTCTGTAATTGTTACAGCGTGATGTGAAAATGCATTCTGGGATGTGCAAGCTGAGAACAAACGTGGGCAGCTCTGAACCTGCGTGCCCACCCCAGTTCCCCGTGTGCCCACCCCAGTTCCCCGTGTGCCCACTCCAGTTTCCTACGGGCCCACTCCAGTTCCCTGTGTGCCCGCCCCAGTTCTGCTAGCAGAGGCTCTCTGTCTTAAAGTCCCACAGAATAGCATCAAATTACTGGATATAGAAACCACTTCAAAGCAATGGTTCCCACAAAATCAGATCTTCTTGTATTAAGCAATGTTTTATATAAGATGTGTGTGCCTTTTAGAAACAGTTTTTCTTCCTTGATGAATGTTGGTCTTTAAAATTAATGATGAGTAAGGAAATTTGCATAAAATCACTCTCTCCATCAGGAGGCAAGCTGAGTGTTTCGATGATATTTATGGGAAAGGAAAGCTAAGGAACCAGGTGGAATTTGATCAGAGGTGGCACTGGGGTTGGGAGGGCATTGCCGACCAAAATGCCCCATGTCAGGGTGTGAAAGGAGCCAGAGCCATAAATTTGGGAAAGATGATGAATATCTTGAATTTGTGTGAGCAGCTTGGGTTTCTCAGATGTCAGTATCGGGGAGGGAGGAGACCTCTTTTAGGGGAGCTTTAAGGAAGTCTGATTAAACAGTGTCCTGAGAAGCTCCGTGGGAGGGCAAAACCGATTATGCTATGATAGATTGCCTTCATCCAAAGCAATAAAACCTACACAAGTGTCAGCAAAGTGTATCTAATTTGGCAAATGAAATTGTGACTATAGAAGGTATGTTTCTAAATGTGAAGTTTGTTAATTCAAGCACTGCTGTATTCACTGTGTTCTCTTCTCTGATGTGGAGCTGCATTTAGTTCATGGGTAACAGCCACACCTGTTCCATCCTCAGGTAACAGCCACACCTGCTCCATCCTCAGGTAACAGCCACACCTGCTCCATCCTCAGGTAACAGCCGCACCTGCTCCATCCTCAGGTAACAGCCGCACCTGCTCCATCCTCAGGTAACAGCCGCACCTGCTCCGTCCTCAGGTAACAGCCGCACCTGCTCCGTCCTCAGGTAACAGCCGCACCTGCTCCGTCCTCAGGTAACAGCCGCACCTGCTCAGTCCTCAGGTAACAGCCGCACCTGCTCCGTCCTCAGGTAACAGCCGCACCTGCTCCGTCCTGGGTTTCTTTCTCCGTGGCTCCTCGTTTGGTTTTCTGTTATTTTTCTCCTTTTCTATTTCTGCTGCTCTGTTGCCTGCCAGGATGTTTGAGCTTCCATCAGGGCTGCATTTTGGGGCCTTGCCTTCCTGTCAAGTGGTTCCATGTTCCAAACGCCACATCAGAGATCTCGGCTCTCTCACAAAAAAATTAGCATTTACTTTTTATGGGGCACACAGTGGTGGCTTCTTGGCTACTTTCTTAATATAAATGTGTGTATTTCTAACTCTATGATCAAAAGCCCATCAATCACCTCTCAGGCCAGAACTGGAATTGGAAACACCACTGAGTCTGCGGCAGTGAACCCAGGTTTCCACAGCGGCTGAGCAGCCACAACTGGCCCTCACCAGAGGGAGTTTGTATTAGTCCATTTTCATGACGCTGAGAAAGACACACGCGAGACTGGGCAATTTACAAAAGAAAGAGGCTTATTGGACTTACAGTTCCACTTGACTGGGGAGGCTTCACAATCCTGGCAGAAGGTGAAAGACACGTCTCACATGGTGGCAGGCAAGAGAAGAGAGCTTGTGCAGGGAAACTCCTCCTTAGAAAGCCATGAGATCTCATGAGACCATCATGAGAACAGTACAGGAAAGACCTGCCCACATGATTCAATCACCTCCCACCAGGTCCCTCCCACAACACATGGGAATTGTGGGAGCTACAGTTCAAGATAAGACTTGGGTGGTGAAACTGACAAACCATATCAGGGTTTAAATGGGACCCGGGTTTCTGCAGCAGCAGGGGTGGCAACAGCAGCTAGGGCCTGGAATGACCCAGGAATGCAGCATGGTGGGGGCCAGGGGACCTCAGGGGTGGGGTTCCTGATGTGGCCATTCTCTTAATCCCCAAATCACTCCTGGAGCTCAGCCGAGAACCCACCCTCTCATATTGTGGGTTCTCAGCCCCTTGTGTGACTCTCTGCCTAGGTACCTGGAGGGGTCACTGCCCCGGTTGCCCCACCAGACAGGATGCTGTCTCCACCAAGGTAACCCATTGTTCCAGGTGGGTTTCTTTGTCCTTTCCCTTCATCCCCATTCTCTGTGTCCCTTGCTGTCACCGCTCTGGCCCTGTAGAAGGTTCTGATGTGATTTAGGGGTGTCTCTACCTGGGAGGGCGGACACGTGCATGTGTGCACATCTGTTATTCTCGTTTATGTTAATCACACTCTTAGGTGCCATTTCGTTTACCTTTATTTTTAAATTTTGTAGGTGTTGCTTTTTTCATCCTTTATTTCTTAGTGTCGAGTGGATGCTTCTTTGGTGACCCCAAAACTCTCTGTGTGCACCCTGGGGACGGATGCAGGTGGGCCTCAGGACCCCGCCTCCACCCACAGGGTGTGGATGACCACCCCAATGCACAGTCTCTTATGAGAACAGGTAATTGGAGTGACAAAAATTGTATCAGACGGTTTTAAACAAGCAAGAAAGGCTTTATTCAAGACCATGCGGTAAGGGAGAGCCCCCAGCTCCTCTGCAGCACATGGCAGGAGGGCTGAGGAGCCTGAGGGGCCACCGAGCAGGTGGGAGAGCCCTGGAGGCCTCAGCAGGGGGCCAGCCCCCTAACCCTCCTCAGAGGCCCCCTAACCCTCCACAGGGCTTGGGGGGCTGGGCCATTTCTTTCTCGATGCCTCATTTTCCAAGGCAGCTCCCAGGCCTGAAGAAGGACATTTCCTGGGCTGTGGAACTGGCCAGTGGCTGGAAGAAGATTTACACCTGGAAGAGGCAGAGAGAGTTTACAATTTTACGTTTTCCAAAGTCAGTGCTCTGGACAGGGGAGGTTGACACCCGAGTCAGGAAGAAATCTGTCTGGAGTGAGCGAAGCCTGGGGGAGGGAAGGCCGCCTCGGCCGGGGTGTGGCCGGCAGCCAAGCTGTTGGCGCAGAGGTGTCCTGACCATGGTGCTCCAGGATCGCTGCTCTGGGCCCACCGGCAGGGTCCAGGGTTCCTGTGTCACCAGCCAGGGGCCTGACAGCTGGCTGAAGCCCTCACTTTCCTCCACATGCCTGGCTTGGCTGGGAGGCCCCTGTTTGAGCCCCTCATCCATGCTGTCCTCACCGAGCAGCGGACTCTCAGTGGCTGTGCCTAGGAGTGTGCACTGCCCAGTGACCCTCATGATGCTCCACGCATGCACAGGCGCGTCTGCAGGGCAGCTGGGTCCTCCACAGGCGTGTGATCGGCAGGAGCCAACACCTCTGCTCTGCCCAGGTGTACCCAGGGCAATGCTCTTCATCCTGACGGCAGTGCGCCCAGCCTGCTGCTGACACGACATAAGGAAGCTTCAGTGCAGAGGCTGAAGGACCCGTACCAGGGCTCCAGCAGCTCACAGTGGGTGGACAGGTCACTGCTGCAGCACCTGAGATTGGGCAGGTAAACCTGGGGCATGCTTGGTAGTAAGACTCCGCTGGACAGGCGTGGGGCGGACACCACCTGCCTGTGTCCCCCAGCATGGGCGGAGAGCGGCCATCACATGGTCAGCCAGGTCTGGGCCACAGGGAGCTGAGTCCTCCTCTCCATCAATTCCCGCTGAGCTCTCCCTCCTGTGGGCTCTGCACCTCTCTCCTCCTCACATTAGGTCACGTGTGTGTCTGTAACTGTACGTGGGGTGCATGGACACAGATGACCCTTCAGCCAGGGCCACTATCTGGGGTGCAAACCACTGGCTGCCGTCCAAGTGGGGAACGGCCTCTTGGGTCCATCCTCCCCGGGAAGAAAACTCAACAGTGGCGTTTCAAGTTTTGCTACATCTGAGCAGCCTCAGCCCTGCAGGCTGGATTCACTTTCTGCAGACTCAGCGGCCCCAGGTGTCTGGGGCCCCTCTGTCCTCTGTGGGTCTCAATTTTCTGTGTGGGATGTTCCTCGTTCGCACCCTCTCTGCTTCAGTTGGCTGGTGGAATGAACCCCATTGACTTTTATTCTCTAAAAGGTTGGATTCATCTTTGCTGAGTCAACAACTGAGGAGAACAAAACTCCAGAGAGAAACCGGAATTAGAGCTGGGAGTTTAGCCGGGCACGGTGGCTCACACCTGTAATCTCAGCACTTTGGGAGGCCGAGGCAAAAATTAGCTGGGTGTGGTGACACCCACCTGCAGTCCTAGCTACTCTGTAGGCTAAGGCAGGAGAATTGCTTGAACCTGGAAGGTGGAGGTTGCAGTGAGATTGCACCACTGCACTCCAGCCTGGGCGACAGAGTGAGACTCTGTCTCAAAACAAACAAACAAACAAGAGCTGGGAGTGCATTGTCCCAGCGCCTCCAGGCTGTAATTAGGACGCCTGGCAGGGGTCAAGGTTGTCAGTCTCCAAAGCTCCAGCCAGTGTGTCTGTCCTTCAAAAGCACTGGTCCCAGTGCCACAGTGACCATCTGAAGTGGTGACAGTGGCCAGGCTGTGGCCAACGGGACTCCCCACCCCCACCATAAACTTTTGCCTTTTCCTTCCCTTTTCAAGTGGGCCTTAAAGCACTTCTGGAAATTAAAGGTTGATTTAGGATATCGACTCTCAGCCCTGATTTCCATACCTGATCAAAGGCTTCCCTGTAGGGTGCCGTGAGCTTGGGCTGTCTGGGCACCTGCAGGCCCTGGGGGTCACATGTCACGGGGAGGAGGGAGGCCTCAGTCCCCGGGGTGAAGGGACACACCCACCCACCCTGGTCTCCGAAGCTCTTCCCTCTCCCCATCTCCAGGGTGGAGAGGCAGTGAGTCGGGGATACGATGGCGGAAGGGGAGGCGACCTCCCTCTGGGATTCGAATCCAGCCCTCCCACCTGGCAGTCATGGGACCTCCCTAAGCGGTTTAACTGCCAAGTCCCAGATCCCATCTGTGAAGCCAGGTGATAAAAGCTGTGGGTCACTGGGTCTCCTGGGTTCCCAGAGGTGCCCATGGCCGTCTCTAGAACAGCAGCTCCCCGTGGGTGGCACCTGTGTTCCCAGGCACAGTCCCGCCTGGATGCCTCCAGCCCACCTGGAGCTGTGAATGAACCAGCACCTTTCCCGCCTCCTTCCAGCCCTCCGACCATGGCCTCTCGCAGGACCCCTGGGAATCACCCTCATCTGTCACTGTTTCCCCACCGGGACCCACCACCGAGGCTACCAGGGAAAAGCCACAGGATTTGTTTGCATCTGGGGAGGCAGCTCCACCTTCCTGGCATGAATGGTCACTAATGATTGGACTTTGTCAGCCTGCAAGGCAGGAAGGAGATTTACTCTCCACAGACTGGACAGTCCTTAGCTTTGTGCTTGCCACATAAATGGCATTTAATACATGCTCCCTGGACTCAGCACCACTCCTGAAGGCCTGTATTGTGGTCAGCAGTTATCATTTCTTCCACAAATGAGCTCATTCTTCTCCTCTCAGGATCAACCCTTTCGCCTTCACTGAGGCATCAGACACCAGCATTCGGAGGGACACCCACTCCATCCTCTTCTCTCAGCTGCCTGTGGAAATTCCCATCTCAAACACGTGACTCCCCACAGAGTGGCACTCACTGATCACGGATCTTAACTTTAAAAGGTGAAAAATAAGTCAAGGCTTAAGGTAAAGTAACGGGAGGTGTGGATGTCTGAGCAATGCGGTGAACCGAGTCACGGGGCCGCGGAGATGTTCGCAGCTGGGACTTTCCAGGCCTCCCGAACGCAGAGCGCCCGAAGCCATCAGTGGCCACAGAGTGTGTTTCAGGTGTGATTTGGGGTCATTTATGCCAATTTTATTCTTCTTTTATTTCCATCTGGTTTTCTTTCTATAAATTGCATACGTCATGCATGCTACGTTTTATAGTCATCCGTGTGACATCCGTCTCGCACAGTGAGTTAAGGAGGACGTTCCGCTACAGCTGTACTTTTTACTCAGCAAAATAAAAAAAGAATAAAGATGAGCTTGAAACTCCTTTGGAATCACTACATTATCTGTTGCTTAGCAAAAGCAATCCATGAATAACACACATGTACACACATGATACACATTCATACACACACAAAAACACGTCTGCACATATGTGTATACATACACATAGAGACATAGGCACACATGCTCTGAAGGTCTGCATGGTGGAAAATTCTAGACATGTTCATTTCTACTTCCTGCCAAGCGCTGAAAACTTGGTGTGCCTGAAAAATCACTTGGCTTCTGTAACCAGATTTACCAAATTAAAAAATTAAAACTGTCCAAGTGTAGAGGCACTAGAGTTTTGTGTCATCATTATTTTTTGAACCACCAAACTTTTATGATGTTGTTGCATTTTTAACAATGCTTGAGTCAAATATCTCACGTAAAAAGAAAACTTCTAAAAAGAAAAAACAATCTAAAATCATGAAAATTTTTGAAAGCATAACCTGCAGTCTCTCCCTCCCCAAAATTGTGTGAATTTGTATGTCATGCATTGATTTCTTACAGTAGTCAGAATGTCAGCCGAATACCACAAAACACGTGTGTTTAGAGAGACTCCCCCGAAGTTGGGAGTGGTGAGAAATGGCGGGAGCTTGTCCCGAACAGACTCCTGGTGCCAACAATACCAGTGAGGAAGGTTCATCTCGAAAAACAAAAGCACTGAAGAGAAGCTGCATGAAACGAGGGGAACTTCACTTTTATCCTTAGATAAATGATTTTTTTAAATTTTGTGGCCACATAGGTGTATGAATTTATGGGGTATGTGAGATGTTTGGATACAGGCATGCAGTGTGAAGTAAGCACATCACAGAAAACGGGGCGTCTGTCCCCTCAAGCACTTATCCACTGAGTTACAAACAACCCAACTACACTCCCTAAGTTATTTTAAAATGCACAGTCAAGTTCTTACTGACTGTAGCCCCCCTGTTGTGCTATCGAACACCAGGTCTTACTCATTTTTCTATTTTTGCACCCATTAACCATCCCACCTCTCCCAGCCCCGCTACCCCTTCCAGCCTCTGGCAACCGTCCTTCCCCACCCCATGTCCATGAGTTCAATTGTTTCAATTTTTAAATCTGACAAATTAGTGAGAGAGAGAGAGCAATGTTTGCCTTTCTGTGCCTGGCTTAGAGAAATCATTTTAAAATTTCTGGTGTGCTTGATGGTGACAACTAACAGCCTGTGAGTTGGGGCTGCTCCGGTGAGGGGTGTGATGACGGGGAGGCTTCAGCCAGGTGGGCAACCAGGCCCTGACAATGGCCCAGCGGCGACGGGAGCCTGATGAATGTGCTGCAGGAGGTCAAGGCTGCACATCGATGTCCTCACGGCTGTGTGAATGGGTGTGAGACAGAGTCGTGCAAGTTCCAGCTGTGACTGATGAGAAAAATCACAGATATCACAATTTTCCCAGCCACAAAATGGGGGAGCAGCAGAGTGAGGGCCCAGTGCAGAGGAGAGACAGACACACCTGCACACGCACGGCGGGACGGGCAGCTGCATGCTCACCCCAGGACCTGGTGTGGAGGAGTACAGACACACCTGCACACTCACGGTGGGACAGACAGCCACACACTCACCCCAGGACCTGGTGCAGAGGTGGAGACAGACACACCTGCACACACACCCCAGGACCCAGCACGGAGGAGTACAGACACACCTGCACCCTCACGGTGGGATGGACAGCCACACACCCCTGCGTCCTCACATCCTCCCCTGGAACACAAGGATTTTGCATCTATCATGTAAGTGTGCATGAGTGTGAATGAGTAGGTGTGACTTGTGCAGCAGCCTGTGTGTGCGTGTGTGTGCAATGATCATGGCTGTGTGTGCAAACTGGCATGAGAGTGTGGGTGTGTGTTGCTGTCCAGCTGAGAGGACTGTGGGGGGAGTGAGTGGATGTCAGCCTCGGCCATGGCTTTCCATGCCCGACCTCTGAGCCAGCCCGGTCCCGCCTCCCACCTGCAGGCTGCGTGGGTCGCACCTGCAGTCTGCCCAGTGAGGCGCAGGTGTTTCTCACAAGTAGGGGCTGCTTTCCTCACAGCTCTGCTCACACCCATCCATCTCAGGGACTGCAGGCTGAGGTAAAATAGGTTTTTAAAGTAAGAAAATTGACTGAGAGCATGAGCCTGGCTGGCTGTGTTGATGGATTGTGGCCTTGAAGTGAGCCCTTGTACGTTTGTAGACTAAGAAACTCGATCCATGCCAGGCAAAATGAAAACCGCGTGAGAAAGGCTCTGTGACCCGGATTCCAAGGCCGTCGGCCGGGATCCGGGAATCTGGTTTGGCTGCCGTGGCCACTTGTGTCTGGTCCGCAGCGGCTCTGCTCAGGCCCAGATCCAGGCCTCTCCCGGAGAGCGATCCCTGCCCGCTCCTTCTTCACCCACACCGCGGCTTGGATCTCAGCTCTCAGCTCTGACCCTCCCCTCTGAGGTCCTGTGGACGTGTCCAGCTGTGGAAACCACCACTTTCAGGGTGAGGCCTCTGCCGTCCCAAATGCCCCTACTGGCCTTAAGATGTCCTTGAGACGGAGCCGTTCCCGGGGCTGCTGGCCGTGACCTCAGGCACCGCAGGCCCCACCTGCCAGGTCCACAGCTGCCCTTTTGCTCAATGGCATTTCTTTGAACACGGTTTTCAGGTTTTCTTTACGGGGTGTTCATAAAATCACATGCTGTCTTCTCGATCGTAGTAAGACAGGAACAAGCCTCGTGGACATCATGGGGCAGTCGAGGTGACCTGCTCTGCGAGGTGCTGCCTCGAGAGTGTGGATTCCCTCAGCGAGAGGCAGCAGCCGCCCAGCCCCGGGAGCCCCAGCCCAGGTTCAAAGCCCTGCGTTTCTTTTCAGTGTCTTCTGGATCTGAAGGAGGGGGTCCCGTGAAGTACAGACAGCTGTGTGTCTCCATAGCAGGGAGAAGCCCTCTCAATTGTCCCTTCCTGCAAATCCCCTTTCCTGATCCCAAAGCCGCAACAGTGGAACCTTCTGGAAGGTGGATTTCCAAGGATTGTCCTTATCCTAAAACTGCATTCAGGAAAGACACATTGACATGACTGGGGGCAGAGATGTGTAATGCAAATAAAGGTGTCGCTTTCATGTAACCTGAAAACTGAATTATTCATTAAAGGTTATTAAATTAAATATTTTCACCTGCATCAACTATGATTTTGCCTCAGCTTTCAAGCAAAACTCCCCTGAGTACCCCTTAGTAATCCATTTCTACACCTTTTGAATGGGATGAGTGTTACATGTATTTTACAACATTTCAAACCCGACACTCAGTGAAACCACAGGGCTTCATTACAGGGAATATCAGTTTTCAAAAAGCATAGACTATTGAATTCATGAATAAAAGAAAAAGGAATTGCAATTAGGTGGAAATGCTGAAAAGAATGTATTGTTCATTTAATTTTGAAAACAGCTCTATTTATTTAACGCGTGTTCAAAGCTGAAAGCACTGGTAAATCATGGATGGAATCACAGGCTCTGTCCTCAGGCCCAGCCTGCTGCTGGCTGCCGGCTCCCGGGAGCGCTCACACCTCACTCCTGCAGGGGAGGCTGCCCCTTAGTGTGCACCTCACTTTGTCTTCACCTTTCAAAACCGTGTTATGCATTATAAGTCTCGTTAAATGAAAACTTTATGTATCAGAAAGAATAGAAAGACCACAAAACATGTAGCCACATCTGAATTCCAGTGCCGTTGACTCTGCCAGATATTGGCTGGGCAAACTTGAGCAATTTGTTTAACCTTTCTGCACTGAATTTTTAAACTGCAAATTGACCATAATAACACTGGTTTCATGAAGTTTCCTAGGGATGCTGAAGACAAATGAGCCCAGTTAGACCCAGATGAAAGGAAGAAAGAGAAAAAGAGAGAGAGAGAGAACGAGGGCAGGGGAGAGGGAAAGGGCAGAGATGCAGCCTCGTTCTCACCCCTAAACGAGCTCAGTTATTCTGTGGCCTCTCAGTAATGTGGTTGCTTTCTCCTCTGTGGTGCCCCCAAGGTGGGCTTTGCAGTCTGTGTTATTTCCACCTCGCCGAGGAATAAGCTCCTTCTCAGACCTCAGGCCCTGGGCCACACTCCCTTTAACCAACACCATGAGATCTTTGCTCCCTCCATCGGCGCAACCGATGATGGTATTACCAAAGGCATTCACATAAAATGCAAAATAAAGAAGACAAGTTTGTGAGTTAAACCTTGGAGCATTTTGATTCCGAAGATCTGGAATCCATATCATTGTAACAGACTAGACTCACACTTAGTTTTAAATCATAGGCAGGAGTTTGGGGGACAATAAATAAGCACAGAAAATGGGCTAGGAGGAGGGTGGATGAAACTGATGGGCTGATCATGGTTCCAGGATGGTCTCACTGTGGAGGTGACAGGATGCGTGCTGCAGTGAAGGGCTGGGGTGCCACAGGAATGGGTGCCCCAGGTAGGGCGTCATCCAGGAAGGAAGAGAAACACTGAGAACAGCTGGGTGGGAGCAGGGTCTGCCGGCTGCATGGGGGGTGGGGAGAGGAGCCCATGAGGGCCTGAGAGCAGCGAGGCTAGGCAGGAACCCTAATCCCTCATCTGCACATGACATGGGGCCTGCCGGAGCCCCGTGGAGCTTGGAATGGAACTGGGGAGGAGCGTTTGCCAGGCCTCCCATCCCCTCCTTCTGCCCACTGGGATTGCTCCTGAAGGAAGAAGAACCCATCGAGTCCCTTGTAAATGTGCTGGGGAGAGAACCCCTGACAGTGCCTGGTGCTCACTCCTGGGGAGCCACTGTCTACCCTCTGTCCTCTCTCGGGTGACCCCGGCTCTCAGCTCACTCCTGGGGGTGACCCCGGCTCTCGGCTCACTCTTGGGGAGCCGCTGTCTACCCTCTGCCCTCTCTTGGGTGACCCCGGCTCTCAGCTCACTCCTGGGGGTGACCCCTGCTCTCAGCTCACTCCTGGGGAGCCACCGTCTACCCTCTGCCCTCTCTCGGGTGACCCTGGGTCTCGGCTCACTCCTGGGGAGCCACTGTCTACCCTCTGCCCTCTCTCGGGTGACCCCAGCTCTCGGGTTGTTCTGGTACCATGGTTTCTGGGCTCGGGTCCATGGCACCTGGAAAATGTTGCATAAGTGAAATGATCTTCAAAGACCAAGAGGAGAGATGTTCCAGGCACCCCTCAGAGGCCCTATGAGGCAGGAAGGACAGTGGGGCTACAAGGTTCCCCAGCTTCTCCAGCTCAACCTGCGCCTGGAAATGACTCCCTGAAATCGTGAGCAGAGCTGGATGCGGGGTCAGTTCTGTGATCTGTGGGACTCTACCATTAATGGCTTCATTTATTTACACGGATCTAACCTTATATTTATCTACGTAAAGAAATAAATTTGTTATTTGTTAGATTCACCTGCACGTATCTTTTTAAGAATATTTTCCTAGCCAGTAAAGAAAATAAGTCAATTTTCTTTTTTCATTTCCCTATTGCTATGTGACGAAAGGTAATATTCTATACTTTTTGTATTAAAGGACTTCAAATTACTGATACTTTAGATGACTTCTAAAGTCTTTGCCGTATTCTCAATGAAGAATGTGAATGCCAGGTTAAAAGATCAACAATTAAATTACAGGTGTGTGTTCACCAGGAGGCCTGGTGTTATTTTCTTATTGGCTGTTTGCGACTGGCTGAGAGGGAAGATCTCGTGCTGTGTCCTCACCACGGGCACAGGCGCAAGGAAGCCTCCAGGAGGTGCAGAATTCCTCGATTGCTTTGATTTGGTGATGGTTTCACAGGTGTTTGCTCAGGTCAATCCTCACCAAAGTGTACACATGAAATGTGTGCAGCTCTCTGAGTATCAATTATACCTCAAAAAAGCTGAAACACTTTTACACTTGAAATAATCGAAGTGACATTTCAATCTAAAGGTTTACAAAGCTGTCACCTACATAGCTGATTTTTCCATGAGAGTCTCATTTACAAGAGAAACACAATTATGAAGTCAGTACCCTGTAATTTTAAAGGGTAACGGAAGAAGCGTGAGGTTGTTAGGGCGGTGCTTACACTCTCCCCCATGTTTATTCCGTGGTTAACCACATGGCAGATCGGCAGTGATTCAGGAAGATGAATTATCTTCAACACGCAGAAGTTCAGTCCTCTGGCATGTACGAATCCTGGTGTGGTTTTTACACAACGTTCTGCTGGGGATGCTTGGGGAGAAGCTGTGGTAACAGGATCGGGATTCGTTCATGCTTCATTCATCCAGGAGGCCTGCGACTGTCCGGCTCAGTGTGGGCTGAGCCTCCAGTGCCGAGCACCAGACACTCCACCCTCCTGAGGCACTTGTGCGGATGCAGGTGAGACGCCCAGACCAGGAGGGTGTGCGTGGGGGGTCGGGCTCCAGAGAACTTAAGATGAGATTCAACTGTGTGGACGGGGCTGGTAGAGGTGGTGGTTCCCGGGCTGGGGAGGTGTAAAGACAAATCCCGGTGACCCTGGCCCTAAAAAGCTGCCATGTACATTTTGTAGAAGACTGTCCATGAAAACAGACTCTCAGAAGCAAAGAGGTGCCTCGACAGGCCCCCCGTCCCGTGTGCAATGCCAGGTCTTACTCTCTCCGTCCCCGAAGGGAGCGTCCTCCTCACCTCTCTGGTCCTCCTTCCCTTGCCTTGTTTGCAATTGTCCACGGAATTCCTGCAGCCCCAAACAGTCTTTCTGATGTGGACTATTTTGAGCTCAACATAAATGAATTAACTAGCAGCATGTGTTTTTCCTGCTTCATCCACTCACACACTGTCTGAGACCCATTCATGTCTCCGGAGGTCCCTCACTCGCCTTGTGCTGGCTGACTCCACTGAGGGACTTGCTGGGACGTCCTCATCCATCTGTGGTGAACGAGAATTTGGATCTCTTCCCACTTGGGTTTGTGCGAACAGTGACACCAGGTGCATCTGAAATACACCACGTGCCCAGGTGCACGCGGGGCGTGTGCAGCTCCCTGACCCCTCTGCAGTGGGAGAGCACTGAGGCCCAGGGTGAAGTGGGGGGGTGTGGGTGTGGGGCCAGGCTGGGGTCGGGGAGAGGACACTGGACTCTGGGCTTTATCTGAGGGCCGAGCAGCAGGTGTCGTGGCAGATCAGATCTGGTGTTGAACTGGCCCGATTGTCCCATAGAACTGATGTTCATGGTTTCTCTGAATAACATAGAAATGGATCCTTGTGGTCTTGAAACTTGAGAACTTGACATTTGTCTTGAGTTCCTTTCTCAGGAAACTGACCATCAGGCCTCCCGGGTAGTGTGAAGGAAGAGAGACTCACCAGATCACGGCATCTGGACAGTGAGACGCCAAACCCCTCACCCATCATGAGTGCCTGACCAGCCACCTGCCTCCTCCTGACCAACTCCTCTTCCTCACTCTCCCTAATTCCTGTTTTCCTTACACACAGTCACACTTCTTCCCTGCTATACAGTCAGTCAGGAAGATGGATTTGAAGCTGACCTCCCATCTCCAGGCCTGCAGCTCCTGATGCATGCCTTCCTCATTGGCAGTAAGCGTCGTCTCAGTGACAGGCTTTCTGTGTGGTGAGCAGCGGGATCTGGACCAAACCCCTGTGTTTCGGGAACAGGGAGAGCAGCCTCAGCAGGCCCCTGGCCCTGAGTGCAGTCATGACCACCAGGGACCCATACCAGCCCCCGGAGGTGAGTGTGGACAAGAAGAAACGGCTCCTGAGGACCCAGCCAGGAGAATTCCTGCAACGTCACGGAGAATCACGGCTACCTGGCCCACACCCCCCTTGAAGGGCAGCTGCAACATGCATCTCATTTGTCTTTCTTTCCTGGACATCTTCAAATCTCCTTCACCACAACCTTGTGATCGTGAGTTTCCGTCAAGATGTGCATTGTTTTACTATATTGCTTTAATTTACTCTGCTGGCTATCTGGAGAAATGCAGCCTCATCAGCAGAAATTATTTCCTCCCTGCCGCTTTTTAAATCTGTTATTTCCTATAGCCAGGTACTGAGCCCTTCAATTGAGGTCTAAACCCTCCACTCTCTCCCTCCGGGATTGCCAAGCCTGTGGTTTCAGTTCCACGCTCCCAGGTCGATTATGTCAACTCAAAGTCCAACGCGCTTATAAAATACTTGTTGTGTTTTTTTCTTAATTTTAGGAGTTTTTTTAATATGTTTTTGTTTCATGGAGGTGACACCCTCTGTCTTTGAGTTGTGGGAGCCTTCCTCCTTCAGTCTGTGTGTACTGAAGCCAGTGTGTGCTGTACAGCCTCTCAACTGCAGCAGCCCACAGTGAGGTTCAGGTGCTCACGCCATCTCCCCAGAGAGCTCCTCCATTCGCCCCTCCACCCGTAGCCTCTCGAAACCACTGCCCTGCTCCCCGACACGGTACACTGTCTTCTCTAAGATGTCACGTGGTGGCATCCTTCGGCCTGTGCCCACCGAAACTAGCTTCCTTCACCGGGCATGTGGCCTGGGAGACCTGGGGCATTGTGGGTGCTTCTTTCCACTGCAGGTTGGTGCTCCCTATGTGGAAGCATCCGCGTTGGTTCACACCTTCTCCTGCCGGTGGACATTTTGTTTTCTTCCAGTTATTGGCAATGAGGAATGAGGCCTAAACACTTGTGTGCAGGTTTGTGTGTGCACATTTAAGTTTTCTCTTGGGGGAAATTTCAGGAGTGGGGTTGCTGGGTGACGTGGTAAGGATGTGCTTAACTTAATAAGAAACTCCTGGACCACTTTCCAGCATGGTGGGGCCCCTCCCATTCCCATGCAGCTTATGAGGGTCCCAGTTCCTTTGCATCATCATTAGAACCTGGGTCGGCCTGTGGTTTTTGTCTGTTTTTAGCCCTTTTAATAGATTTGCAGAGGTTCTGTTGATTGGCATTTCTCCAGCATCTCTATGACGTTGAGCCTCTTTCTCGGGCAATATGCCCTCCTTATACCTTCTTTGATGAGGCCTCCGTTCCAATATTGGCCCTCTCTTTAATACTGGGGCTTTTACTTTCTTATGGTTAAGTTTTGATGGTTCTTCACATATCCTGCGTGCCAGTAGGCTGTGAGACGTGTGATTCACAAATGTTTATTTCTAGACCATAGTTTGTGTTTCATTCTCTTTGGATTTTTATATTGCTTTATAGAATTATAATTTTAAATGTATGATTAAGTTTAATTTGTCAATCTTTTATGAATCATGCTTTTGGTGTCATGTCTAAGAACTTTTCGCCTAACCCCAGGCCGTACGAATTTTCCCCTGTGTTTTTGTCTAAGGGTTTGATAGCGTTATGTTCTCCATTTAGGCCTGTGATAAATGTTGAGTAACATTTTGTGTCCGCCATGGCCATACCTTTCTCCGTCTCTCACAGTATCATGGGCGTTTGCAGCTCCCAGTGCCCCGTGCTGCTCCTGTCTTCTTGGTCTGCTCCTCCTGTCATACCTTTCTCCGTCTCTCACGGTATCGTGGGCATTTGCAGCTCCCAGTGCCCCGTGCTGCTCCCGTCTTCTTGGTCTGCTCCTCCTGTCATACCTTTCTCCGTCTCTCACAGTATCGTGGGCATTTGCAGCTCCCAGTGCCCCGTGCTGTTCCCGTCTTCTTGGTCTGCTCCTCCTGTCATACCTTTCTCCATCTCTCACGGTATCGTGGGCATTTGCAGCTCCCAGGGCCCCGTGCTGTTCCCGTCTTCTTGGTCCGCTCTTCCTGTGAGTCTCAGGGCATGTCTTAGTGCTCACGCTGTCCTGGTCCATCGGGGGGTCCCGTGAGCTTGTCCGTGTGG
Source organism: Homo sapiens (assembly GCF_000001405.40). Lineage (NCBI taxonomy): Eukaryota > Metazoa > Chordata > Mammalia > Primates > Hominidae > Homo > Homo sapiens. Next base: position 71,958 of record NT_187647.1, on the reverse strand, counting down.
GAAGGTCGGGACTGTGATGTTGACGGGATGCCTTGTGAGTTGGGGGAGGTGCTGATGGGGGTTTCCATGTGGGAGAGAGAGGTGTTTGGTTTTCCAGAGGGAGCAGACTTGAGAGGGGACAAACTTGAGAAATGCCACCAATGAAAGGCCCAGGCAGAGCAGGTCTTGGGGCCGCCCAGCCCTGTGGGAGCCAAACGTGGATGTGTCAGTGGCCATGTCAGGAGGTAAACCCTCAACCAAGGGCCTCTGGGTGTCCAAGGCCAAGTCTTGTTCAAGAGGTGCGTTCAGCTGAGCCAACCATGGCAGAAATGCATAAGGGAGATCCCACAGTTCCTCCGTTTAAATCCCCTGCTAATCCCACCCGCCTCAGAGAAGGAGCCAAGTCCTCACAGCAGCCTGCAACCCCCGCCTGACTCGGCCTCCTCTCGGGTCTGATTCTCTGTACCCGTCTACACCTCTCTGTCTCTTCTCCCACCAGAGAGGATATCCTGCACGTTCATCCTGGTGGATTCAAACCCATCTTTGCCACACACATAGTCACCAGAATGAGCACGCATAATCTATAAAGAGTCCTCTTGAAAAAGAAAAATGCAGGCCGGGCATGGTGGCTCATGCCTGTAATCCCAGCACTTTGGGAGGCTGAGATGGGAGGATCACCTGAGGTCAGGAGTTTGAGACCAGCCTGGACAACATGGTGAAACCCCATCTCTAGTAAAAATATAAAAATTAGCTAGGCGTGGTGGTGGGCGCCTGTAATCCCAGCTACTCAGGAGGCTAAGGCAGGAAAATCACTTGAACCCAGAAGGTGGAGGCTGCAGTGAGCTGAGATTGTGCCACTGTACTCCAGCCTGGGCAACAGAGTGAGACTGTGTCTCAAACACATAACAATAGGAATAATAAAAGAAAAGTGCAAAAATTCAAACAACTTAACAGAAACTGGGCAAAAGAGCTGAACCGGCCCTCCACAAAAGAGGAAATGTGGAGGAATGACTAATGAAAACATGAAGAGGGGCTCAGCCTAACGGGGAGATATCACGTGACACCCACCAGATGGGCAAAAATCCCACCACCCAATCCATGCAGGTGTTGGGGAGAATGGAGAGAAGCAGGAACAACAGGCACTGCTAAGAATGGTTGTGAAGTATATTTTTGTTATGCTTGTATATGAAAGGATGTGTGTTGTGGGTTATGAGGAAAATTACATTTTTTACCTGGGATGAAATTTTAAAACTTGAAAGCTACTGACCAGAAGCAACCTGCACTTGTGGACAAAAGAAATGCCCAAGAATGTTCCCAGCAAAACGCAGTCCTCAGGGCCCCAACCTGGCCAAACACTCATCCACGGGAAGATGAAGACATTTCCCATGCTCCCCTCAGACAACGAGAGACCATGCAGCAATGAAAATGGACCATGTCAGTGTGGGTGGGTCTCAGGGAGAGAATGGAGACAGGAGATCACGCAGCAATGAAAATGAACCATGTCAGTGTGGGTGGGTCTCAAGGAGAGAATGGAGGACAGAAATAGACATAGAGCAGATGCTCAGAGCCATGCAGTGCAGGAGCAGCCACGCAGGAGAATTTCCTCACATCAAAGTTCAAAACTACAGCCAAGGCAACAGAGCAAGACCCTGCCTCAAAAAGAAAACAAAGTTCAAAAACTAAATGGCTTATTGTTTAGGGATGTACACATACGCGGTGAAAGAAACGTACTATGAAGAAAAGTGTGGGAATAATAAAGACTAAAGCAGGAAGTGGTTCCCTCTGTAGGAGAAGAGAAGGGACTGGGACTCAGGCAGGGCCTCCAGGGAGCATCCAAAGTTATGTCTCTTCAGATTCTATTCCCTAAACCTGGTGGAGGTCCTCTGTGTCCAATGTGTCAATATTCTTTATACCTTACCCATATTGTACAAATACTTTATTTCTATTCAATGTTTAGAAGACAGTTATTAACAAGATGCATTAAATAGCAAGATGGCCAATGAACATCAGGAAGGGAACATCCATGAGGTTCCATCCACGGAACCTCACCATGGATACGCTTGTGATCAAGGGCCTGGTCTCCCCTCAAGACACAGTCAGAGATCAGAGGCCACACCATCCTAGCAGTGGAGCAGGACCAGCTGGGACAGGGTCCTTCTGTGACACCTGCTGCATCACCAGCCTATGTGAATGGATTCAGCTGCCAGAACTCACAGAGTATCAGTATTAGCACCGAAACCTCACAGGAAAAATGGTAAGTTCTAAGTTTCTCCATTAACAGTAACTCTCAGATTAATCTCTGTCATCCATCACTTCTCCATGAAATAACTTTTTACAGCTCTTCATGGGTCTATGTTTCAATTTATATATTATTTTACTAACTGATTGAAAATATATATTGTGTGTGGTGTGTGATTCTGTCAGTCAGGATAATCATAGTTTAATTTCTATTATTATTATTCCAATATCATTTAGTTTTTTTAAGCTTTTCAATTCCTGAGGGTATTAATCAGGGTCTTTCTGTCTCATGAGACAGAAAACAAATCCAAACTGTGTAAGAGAAAAAGGAATGCATTAATCCCGAGGACTGAGAAGCTCCCAGGCTTAACTTGCTTGGGATTCAGCTACATGTACAGTTTCCACGGCGTCCTGAAACTCTCTCTCTCTACTTCCCCAACATCAGCTCCACGTTTAGCTCCATGAACTTCAGACTTAAACAGCATCACTGGCTCCTGACCAGGATTCCAGCTCCACAAACCTCAAACTAGAACACCAGCCTGGCTTCTCCACAGGTCTCCAGCTCCAAAACCTAAGACATCAGTGGCAGTACCTACTCCTCCCAGGGGGCTCCAGCTCTGAGACCCTCAGACTTGAACCGCAGCACCAGCTGTTCCCCAGATCTCCAGCTCCATGACCCTCAGACTTAAACAACAGCAGCACCAGCTCATCCGTGGGTCTATATCTCCACGACCCTCAAGCTAGGAAAACATCAGCTCCTCCCCGGGTCTCCAACCGCACGACCCTCCAACTAGAAACACACCAGCTCCTCCCTCAGTCTCCAGCTCCACAAGCCTCCCACTAGAACAGCAACACCAGCTCCTCCGCGGGTCTCCAGCTTTACAACCTAAGACATTAGTGGCAGCACCGGCTCCTCCTGGGGGCTCAAGCTCCAAGACCCTCAGACTTGAACCGCAGCACTGGCTCTTCCCTGGATCTCCAACTCGACGATCTTCAGACTTAAACAACAGAAGAACCAGCTCCTCCCTGGGTTTCCAGCTCCACGACCCTCAACTGGAACATCAGCTCCTTCCTGGGTCTCCACCACAACAACCCTCAACTAGAAACACAGCAGCTCCTCCCCGGGTCTCCAGCACCACGACCCTCAACTAGAAACACACCAGCTCCTCCCCAGGTCTCCAGCTCCACGACCCTCAACTAGAAACACGCCAGCTCCTCCCTGGGTCTCCAGCTCCACGACCCTCAACTAGAACAACACCGCTCCATGCTGTATCTCCAGATCCACGACCCTCAACTAGAAAGACACCAGTTCCTCCCCTGGTCTCCAGCTCCATGACCCTCAACTAGAAACACAGCAGCTCCTCTCCGGGTCTCTAGCTCCATGACCCTCAACTAGAACAACACCACTCCATGCTGTATCTCCAGATCCACGACCCTCAACTAGAAACACCAACACCGGCTCCTCTGCAGGTCTCTAACTTCTCCCATAGATTCCAGCTCCAGGACCCTCAGATTTGAACCACAGGACAACCTCCTCCCTGGATCTCCAGCTGCACGACTGTCAAACTAGAACATCAGCTCCTCCCAGGGTCTCCAGCCGCACGACTCTCAGACTAGAACATCAGCTCCTCCCAGGGTCTCCAGCCGCACGACTCTCAGACTAGAACATCAGCTCCTCCCAGGGTCTCCAGCTGCACGACTCTCAGACTAGAACATCAGCTCCTCCCAGGGTCTCCAGCTGCACGACTCTCAGACTAGAACATCAGCTCCTCCCAGGGTCTCCAGCTGCATGACACTCAAACTATAAAGACAACAGCTCCTCCCTGGGTCTCCAGCTCTACAACTGTCAAACTAGAACACCATCAGCTCCTCTCCGGGTCTCCAGCTCCACGGCTCTCAAATTGAAACAACATCAGCTTCTCCCTGGGTCTCCAGCTGCACAATCCTCCAACTAGAAAAAACACCAGCTCCTCCCCTGGTCTCCAGCTCCACGACCCTCAATCTGGAACATCAGCTCCTCCTCAGGTCTCCAACTACATGACCCTCAAACTAGAAAAACAGCAGCAAACTAAAAAAAACTCCCCAGGTTTTTCTAGTTTGATGGTCGTGCAGCTGGACACCCGGGAAGGAGCTGATTTTAATCTAGTTTGAGCATCGTGGAGCTGGACACCCAGGGAGGAGCTGGTGTTTTTCTAGTTTGAGCGTCATGGAGCTGGACACCCAGGGAGGAGCTGGTGTTTTTCTAGTTTGAGCGTCGTGGAGCTGGACACCCAGGGAGGAGCTGGTGTTTTTCTAGTTTGAGGGTCGTGGAGCTGGACACCCTTGGGGGTCAGTGTTTTTCTAGTTTGAGGTCATTTGAGGGTCAGCTGCACGACCCTCAAACTAGAAAAACACTAGCTCCTCCCCTGGGTATCCAGCTCCACAAACCTCACATGAGAAAAACACCAGCTCCTCCCCGGATCTCCGGCTCCACAACCCACAAACTAGAACACCAGCAGCTCCTCCCCGGGTTTCCAGCGACACGACCCTCAAACTAGGAAAACATCAGCTCCTCCCCATGTCTCCAGCTCCATGACCCTCTGATCAGAAAAACATGAACTCCTACCTGGGTCTCCAGCTTCAGGAGCCTCAAACTAGAACATCAGCTTATCCCCGGGTCTCCAGCTCCACGACCCTCAGACTTAAACAAGAGCAGCACCAGCTCCTCCCTGTGTCTCCAGCTCCAGGACCTTTTGATCAGAAAACATGAGCTGCTACCTGAGTCTCCAGATGCAGGAGCCTCAAACTAGAACAACATCAGCTCCTCTCCAGGTCTCCAGTTGCAAAACCCTCAAACTACAACATCAGCTCCTCCCCGGGTCTCCAGCTGCATGACCCTCAAACAGGAACATCAGCTCCTCCCCGGGTCTCCAGCTGCACAACTCGCAAACTAGAACATCAGCCCCACTCCGGGTCTCCAGCTGTATGACACTCATACAAGAAAGAGGCAAGCTCCTCCCAGGTTCTACAGCATGACCCTCCAATTAAAAAACACCTGCTCCCCCTGGGATATCCAGCTGCATGACCCGGAAACTGTAACATCAGCTCCCCCCCAGGTCTCCAGCTGCACCACCCTCTAACTGCAATATCAGCTCCCCCCCAGGTCTCCAGCTGCACGGCCCTCAAACTGGAACATCAGATTCCTGGCCCTCAAACTGGAACATCAGCTCCCCCGAGGTCTCCAGCTGCATGACCCTCAAACTAGAACATCAGCTCCCCCCAGAGTCTCCAGCTGCAAGGCCCTCAAACTGGAACATCAGCTCCCTGCTGGGTCTCCAGCTGGAAGGCCCTCAAACTGGATCATCAGCTCCCCCCAGGGTCTCCAGCTTCACAGCCCTAAAACCGAAACATCAGCTCCCCCCGGGTCTCCAGCTTCACAGCCCTAAAACCGAAACATCAGCTCCCCCCGGGTCTCCAGCTGCACGGCCCTCAAACTGGAACATCAGCTCCCCAGCCCTCAAACTGGAACATCAGCTCCCCCCAGGGTCTCCAGCTGCATGACCCCCAAACTAGAACATCAGCTCCCTCCAGGTCTCCAGCTGCAAGGCCCTCAAACGGCAACATCAGCTCCCACCCCGGGTCTCCAGCTGCACGACCCTCAAACCGGAACATCAACTCCCCCCAGGGTCTCCAGCTGCATGGCCCTCAAGCTGCAACATCAGCTCCCCGCCGGTCTCCAGCTGCACTGCCCTCATACTGGATCATCAGCTTCCTGGCCCTCAAACTGGAACATCAGCTCCCCAACCCTCAAACTGGAATATCAGCTCCCCCCAGGGTCTCCAGCTGCATGACCCTCAAACTGGAACATCAGCTCCCCCCGGGTCTCCAGCTGCACGGCCCTCAAACTGGATCATCAGCCTCCCAGCCCTCAAACTGGAACATCAGCTCCCCAGCCCTCAAACTGGAACATCAGCTCCCCCGAGGGTCTCCAGCTGCATGACCCTCAAACTAGAACATCAGCTCCTCCCCAGGGTATCCAGCTGCATGACCCTCAAACTGGATCATCAGCTCCCCAGCCCTCAAACGGGAACATCAGCTCTCCCTAGGGTCTCCAGCTGCATGACCCTCAAACTAGAACATCAGCTCCTCCCCAGGGTCTCCAGCTGCATGACCCTCAAACTGGATCATCAGCTCCCCAGCCCTCAAACTGGAACATCAGATCCCCAATCCTCAAACGGGAACATCAGCTCTCCCTAGGGTCTCCAGCTGCATGACCCTCAAACTAGAACATCAGCTCCTCCCAGGGTCTCCAGCTGCACGGCCCTCAAACTGGAATATCGGCTCCTCCCAGGGTCTCCAGCTGCATGACCCTCAAACTAGAACATCAGCTCCTCCCCAGGGTCTCCAGCTGCACGGCCCTCAATCTCCCTAGGGTCTCCAGCTGCATGACCCTCAAACTAGAACATCAGCTCCTCCCAGGGTCTCCAGCTGCACGGCCCTCAAACTGGAATATCGGCTCCTCCCAGGGTCTCCAGCTGCATGACCCTCAAACTAGAACATCAGCTCCTCCCCAGGGTCTCCAGCTGCATGACCCTCAAACTGGATCATCAGCTCCCCAGCCCTCAAACTGGAACATCAGATCCCCAATCCTCAAACGGGAACATCAGCTCTCCCTAGGGTCTCCAGCTGCATGACCCTCAAACTAGAACATCAGCTCCTCCCAGGGTCTCCAGCTGCACGGCCCTCAAACTGGAATATCGGCTCCTCCCAGGGTCTCCAGCTGCATGACCCTCAAACTAGAACATCAGCTCCTCCCCAGGGTCTCCAGCTGCATGACCCTCAAACTGATCGTGAACTAGAACATCAGCTCCTCCCCAGGGTCTCCAGCTGCATGACCCTCAAACTGGATCATCAGCTCCCCAGCCCTCAAACTGGAACATCAGATCCCCAATCCTCAAACGGGAACATCAGCTCTCCCTAGGGTCTCCAGCTGCATGACCCTCAAACTAGAACATCAGCTCCTCCCAGGGTCTCCAGCTGCACGGCCCTCAAACTGGAATATCGGCTCCTCCCAGGGTCTCCAGCTGCATGACCCTCAAACTGGAACATCAGCTCCCCTGAGGGTCTCCAGCTGCACGGCCCTCAAACCAGATCATCAGCTTCCCAGCCCTCAAACAGGAACATCAGCTCCCCCGAGGGTCTCCAGCTGCACGGCCCTCAAACTGGAACATCAGCTCCCCCTCAGGGTCTCCAGCTGCATGACCCTCAAACTAGAACATCAGCTCCTCCCCAGGGTCTCCAGCTGCATGACCCTCAAACTGGATCATCAGCTCCCCAGCCCTCAAACTGGAACATCAGATCCCCAATCCTCAAACCCCCTCAGGGTCTCCAGCTGCATGACCCTCAAACTAGAACATCAGCTCCTCCCCAGGGTCTCCAGCTGCATGACCCTCAAACTGGATCATCAGCTCCCCAGCCCTCAAACTGGAACATCAGATCCCCAATCCTCAAACGGGAACATCAGCTCTCCCTAGGGTCTCCAGCTGCATGACCCTCAAACTAGAACATCAGCTCCTCCCAGGGTCTCCAGCTTCACGGCCCTCAAACTGGATCATCAGCTTCCCGGCTCTCAAACTGGAACATCAGCTCCCCAGCCCTCAAACTGGAACATCAGCTCTCCCCCGGGTCTCCAGCTGCAGGACCCTCAAACTAGAACATCAGCTCTCCCCAGGGTCTCCAGCTGCACGGCCCTCAAATTGGAACATCAGCTCCCCCCGCGGGTCTCCAGCTGCACGGCCCTCAAACTGGAACATCAGCTCCCCCCTGCGTCTTCAGCTGCACGGCCCTCTAACTGGAACATCAGCTCCCCACCGCGCCTCCAGCTACACGGCCCTCAAACTGGAACATCAGCTTCCTGGAACATCAGCTCCCCCGCCGGGTCTCCAGCTGCACGGCCCTCTAACTGGAACATCAGCTTCCTGGAACATCAGCTCCTCTCCAGTGGCAGGACACTAATACTAGAAAAACGCCAGCTCCTCCCGGGTTCTACAGCTGTGCGACCCTCAAACAAAAGAAACACCAGCTCCTCTCTGGGTCTGCAGCTGCAGGAACCTCAAACTAGGACACCTCTCCCCCTGGATCTCCAGCTCCACGACCCTCACAGAGGAACAGCCACATCAGCTCCTTCATTGCCTTCAGCTCCACAATCTAAGACATCAGTGGCAGCACCAGCTCCTCCGTGGACGTCCAGCTCAACGACTCTCAGACTTAAAAGGCAGCATCGGCCCCTCCCCAAGGCTCCAGCTCCACCACCCTCAGGTTTGAACAGCGGAATCACTAGCTGCCGTCCAAGTCTTCCGCCCCACAACCCTCCCTGAACAATCCCTTCTCATGAAATTCAGCAGTCAAGAAAACTGCAGCAGAAGTAAATGAATAAATGTTTTGTTTTCAAATCGATGTCTCTTACGTTCATGAGTTAACTTTTCTACTTTCCATTAACCTTGCAATCTACTTTTGTCCAATGTGAGATAGAAACACACCATTTGAAATGACGTTTAAAAACTTAGTAATATTTTTAATATAATCATCACACAGCTGTAGACACGATCTTATTTCTCTCTGCCTGTGCAGAAGGCTTATGAAAATTCAAACTATGAATTTACTTTGTTGAGATTCCCAGAATACACATTAATCCCAACTGTTACTCCCCTCCTTAAAATCTTTTAACACATTCCCATCACCCGAGCATAAATGGCAGCTCCCATCCACAGCCCACAGTGCCCAGCACGGCCCTGCCCTCTGCCCTGGTCTATGGTCTCCCCTCTTAAATGCCAGCTCCATCCACAGCCCACAGTGCCCTCATGGCCCTGCCCTCTGCCCTGGTCTATGGTCTCCACTCCGGTGCCCAGCCCGGCCCTCCCCTCCCCTCTGCCCTGGTCTATGGTCTCCACTCTGGTGCCCAGCCAGGTCCTCCTCTCCCCTCTGCCCTGGTCTATGGTCCCCCCTCTTAAATGCCAGCACCATCCAAAGCCCACAGTGCCCAACACGGCCCTGCCCTCTACTCTGGCCTAAGGTCTCTCCCCTCTGCCGGACAGGCCTCTGTCAGTTCTTCAAACCACACAGGCTCAGGCCTGACTCCAGCCTTTCCCCTGCTGTGCCGTCTGCCTGGGGTGCCTTTCCCGGGCTCCGCATCCTCAGCTCGCTCAGCTCCAGCCTGCTGGTCGCCCCTCAGGTGGAAGAGCACCCGGTGTCCTCTCGCCCCGCCGGCCTTTGCACAGGCTCTTCTCTGTGCCAGCCACACACCCCCTCTCACCACTGGGGTTTACTCTCTAAATACCATTCATCCTTGGAGTCTCCACTGACATATCGCTCCCCGCCCACCCCCCTCCCTTGGACTTAGCCTTGGTCAGGTTGCCAACCCCCGTCTCCTGACTCCGGGAAGCTAGATGCTCTCCTACCACTCGGAACTTCCCAGGAAGCTAGATGCTCTCCTAGCTCTCGGAACTTCCCAGGAAGCTAGATGCTCTCCTAGCTCTCGGAACTTCCCAGGAAGCTAGATGCTCTCCTAGCTCTCGGAACTTGCCCATCGCCACATTCACACACCCGTGGTTACCGGGTTAGGTTGGTGCAGAAGTCATCGCGGTTTTTGCCGTTACTATTAATGAACCGCAGCACCGGCTCCTCCCCGTTTCTTTTTTTGCCATTACTTTTCATGACTGCTGCACCAACCTATTAGAATCATTTATATTTATCCATCCAACATCTGCCTTTCCCTCTAGAAAGGAAGCTCCATGAGAGTAGAGGCCAGATCTACTCAAATCACTCCACCTTCCCACACATTGTCAATAATCATTTACCAACTGACTGATAGAGAAATGCCTTCCCTGTTGCTGGGATGAGGCACACGACACGCCCCTTTGAAAGTCACTGTCATGGACCGTTGGCATTTGCTCTTCACTCCTGCACCCGTGGCGTGGCTGGGCTCAGGCTGATCTAGTCTGGCCTTGACTCCAGGCTGAGGATGGGAACCATGCCTGCTCCACACGCCTCTCATCCCACAGCCAGAGCCACCCTCCCCTGGGGCTCGCACATCTCGTGGGGAAAATCAAGAGCCTTAGAGGGCAGGCCTGGCAGTGCCCACACATTCCAGGCTTCTGCTTGTGCCATGTCTGTGAAAATCTCATTGGCAGAAGCAAGTCACCCAGTCTCGAGCAGCACCTATGGGATGGATAAGTCCATCCACCCTCCCTCGGGCCCTAGGAAGGCTGGGGCTGTGTCATACTCTTGCGGGGGAAGTGAAAAATTGAGGCCCAACATTAAATCACCCACGGCAAGAAATGTCAACCTCTGTGTCTCCACGCTGGAATCCTTTGCCAGTGGGTTCACCTGAGCTGACTTTGCAATGGTGTCTGCAGGTTTAGGCCAATGCTGGTCCCCGTGGAGGACAGAGAAGCCTCAATCGGCCTCCGTCTGTTGGGAAGAACAAGATATTAGCTTGGCGCAAAACAACCGCAAGCCCCAGGTGTCCCACGCCCCATGAGACAGGAGAGGAGCAGAGAACTGTGGAAGCTCAGGGAAGCTTGCATCCCCAGCCCCTCCCCTGCGTCCCCAGCCCCTCCCCTGCATGCCCCCATCTCTGCTTGCTTGCTTTCTCTTTCTTTTTTTCTTTCTTTCTTTTTTCTTTCTTTCTTCTTTTTTTTCTTCTTCTTTCTTTTTCTGAGACAGGGTCTGGCTCTGTCACCCAGGCTGGAGTGCAATGGTGTAATCTTGGCTCACTTCAACCTTCACCTTCTGGGATCCAGCAATCCTTCCTCCTCAGCCTCCCCAGTGGCTGGGACTACAGGCACATGCCACCACACCCAGCTAAACTTTTTTTTTTTTTGGAGACAGGATTTTGCCACGTTGCCCTGGCTGGTCTCAAGCAATCCTCCCACCTCAGCCTCCCAAAGTGTTGGGATGACAGGCATAAGCCACCAAGTCCAGTCTGCTTTATTTTTCTTCATAGTACTTGGAACCTTCCTTTTTTTTTTTTTTTTTTTGTTGGACGGATTCTCACTCTGTTGCCCAGGCTGGAGTGCAGTGGTGTGATCTCGGCTCACTGCAACCTCCACCACCTCCCAGGTTCAAGCGATTCTCCTGCCTCAGCCTCCTGAGTACCTGGAACTACAGGCACCTGCCACCACCTCCGGCTAACCTTGATCTCAGAGACTTCTGGCCTCCAGAACTGTGAGACAATAGGTTTCTGTTGTTGAAGCCCCAGTCTCTGGAGCACTGTTAAGTAGCCCCGGGAAGCTGGCACAGAACCCGGCCACCCCTCCTGGGCGAGCTGCTTTCTACCAGGCTCTGGGGGTGGCGGGTGGCCTTTCACTGGTCTCCTCCAGCGCTTGCCCCTGTTCTGACTTGTATTTTGGGAGTGTCTTTCTTCTTCCTAGTGTTGACAGCCTCACACACGTGGCGTTGTACTGGCACCCGAGAACCAGCACTCACGTATGCAGCACTTTCAGAAATTAGTTATATTTATGCATGGTCATGGTCATACTCATACATCTAATTGGACTTCTTTTTTAAGAAAGTGAAACAAAGCCTGAATTCTCCATTGTTGTGTAGGCCTCAGTTCCCGGAGCTGTCCTGTAAGTTCCTTGAAAAAAGGTGCTTTCAACCTGTATGTGGTACCTCTTGGCAGCTGCCTCATTGGCTGGACCCTGGACAGCTCTGAAGTCAGAGGAGTGGGGCTTCAGTACGTTGCACTGGGGTGAAATCCTGGCCATCATCCACGAGGAAAGACCAATGCAGCAGAACCATCCCTGAAGCAGTGAAACGCGGTCAGGAACCGTCAGTCAGTGAGCCATCCCTTTGGAAGTTCTTCACGGGACCATACATCTTAGAATTCTTAACACATAGTGACATGCCACGAGGTGGCATTCCCGTCCTGTTCCTACCAATGTACATTCATATTCAAAGTAGAAACAGAAACCATCTTCCACATAACAAAGTCCTGAAGATCGTCACAACTCTTAAGCCATGTGGTTCCTCAGCACCGCATGAGCTGACCCATCCCAGCTCGTGATCACGCGGACGGGCTAAGACATAACTGAAGAAGCGTCGGTATTTTATATGTATCTAATTTCATTTTTTAAAGACATTTTTAGGGGATAGAAACATTACAGAACAAATTTTAATGTACCATGAAAGTATAAATATTAGAAAAGGAAACTAATGCATGTGAACAAGGACTCCATGAAAAGTACGCAGTGGTTGAAGCTGCACGACTCTAGGGACAAAAGTTTGCATAAATATCCAAGCGAGTTTCGTTCCTGAGCATTAGGACCGAACATACAAGCAAGCTGAGGCAGGTCTGCGGCCAGAGCCCTATGGAGTCCTCACTGCGAAGGCCCTGCTCAGGGAGCTTCTATTCCTGGTTGAGGAGGGGAGACATGCCACCTGCTTCTCCCAGGTAGTCCCTGACCACAGACTCCGGAAAGAACAATGGTGCAGAACACAAGAAGCAGTGACCAGGCAGAGGGTGCACCTGCGTCCCCTCCTGCCTCCCTCCTGCATCCCCTGCCCGCATTGAGGCAGCAGGGTCCAAAAGCGCTCAGGGGCCACGTGCAGGACACTCCAGGAAGGACCACACAGTCTGAGCTTGGGGCCACAGAGAGAGGACTTAAGGGGAAGGGCAGACACCCCACCCTCCCCACACCCTTCCCTCTGCCCCCTGCCCTCGGCAATCACCTGGGTCTGTGGCAGCAACTGTGCCAACAATGGCAGAGGGCAGGACCCAGCCCCACAGGGGAACCTCCTCTCCATGTGGGGCTCCAGCAAGATGGGGCCAGACCCACTGCTTCTTTCTCCCTCCGTCTGCCCAGCACTTGGCCCAGGCCTGGCTCAGCTGTGGGAGTGCACAGCTCAGGAGGTAACTAAATCCCCGGCTTTCTAGCTCAAGAACAAAAATGAGGGGTCCCAGGGAGAGAGGACATTTGAGGGAGATTCGAGAGAGGGAGAGTCTTGGTAAGTGGCGTGTGGCCTCCTGGGCTGCCCTGAGTTGCTCACATGTATTTGAGCTCATGAACAGACCTCAGCCTAGACCCTGGCGGTGCACACTCAGGGCAGTTGCAAACAGTACTGAAGGCTTTCAGAAAGGAACTGGCTGTGGAAGCCTAGACCACAAAATGTTATTGAAACTTGCAGCCTGAATTTAATCAGGTTAATGCTCACTAAAACAAACACTAAATCAACATTCTTCACTGGAATGAAATAAGATGCAGAGTCTCCTAACATAATATTCATGGTGTCCAGAATGCAATTCAACCTTACTAGGATATGAAGAACCAGGAAAATAACTCACACAGGAGCCAGCCAGCCCATGCCCATGCTAAGATGACTGAGCTGTGTGATCTGCTGACAGAAACATGAAAATCACTCCGCCCATAGTCACAAACACTCTTGAATCCAATGGGAACAGAGAAAATCTCACGAAGGAACTAGAAGATGTAAATACAAAACAAATGGACATCTTAGAATGGAGGGGCAATATTAAAAGAAAGATCCTCACTGGATGGGACTTACAGCAGAAGGTAAAGAAATATCAGAATGGAACAAAGAGTCTGTGGATTTGAATATAGCTAAATGGAAATTATCCAATCTTAACAACAGAGAAAAACATGAGAAAGGAATGTTTTAAATGAGAATATTTTCTCGTGGAGACTCAGTGAGCAGACCTAGCTCATAACTCTCCTGTCACCGGAGGGGCAGGTGAAGGAGACCTACATGAAGATGGATTCACAAATTCCAACTAGCAAATATGGGTTCCAGGCAAAGTGTGAAAAGTTAACGATGTACATTTTATTTCCTGGACAGCGATGCACTGTGTAAAATTAAATCACCCCAAATAGAATGATAGAGATAGAATGAAAATCAAAAGATGAAAAGTGAAGCAAACACCATGCAAACCCTCATCGAAGACAGCAGGATAAGCCACGTTAGTATCAGGCAAAGTAGGCTTTGCAGCAAACAAAATCACCAGGGATAAAGAGAAGAAATAAATAATGACAAAAGGGTCAAGAAAACAACAGTCCTACACGTGAATTCACCAAGTGCCAGAACTCTAAAACACTTGAAACAAAAATTTTAAAAACCCAAAATAGAAATGGACAAAAGTCCACAGTCAGGAATGGTAACACTGTTCTATTAATAGAGATTATACTAAAAAGATAGAAAGTTCTCAATAATGTAGGTTTCCACTTTTTAAAAGGTAGAAAAAGGAAACCAAAAAGAATCAAAACCAAGCAGGAGTAGGGAAATAATAAAGGTAAGATCAAAAACAACAAAATTATTTTAAAATACAATAGAGAAATGAATGACACCAAACCCAATTCTTTGAATAAATTTGAATAAAATTGATGAACTTCTAACACTACCATTGAATAAAAAAGGAGGGGAGGGAGACACAGTTTACCAACATTGGAAAAGAAAGATGGGTCATTGCTGCAGACACTGCAGGCACTAAAGGATAAACAGGGAATAACATGACAACTCCACACACATGAACTCAACACTCAGATAAAGTGGATGGATTCTTCAGAAAACAAACTCACCGCATGTGAGAGCAATGTCCTCAGTACTGAGAGGCAAATTTCCATTGCGGATTTTCTGGGGCAGCTGCAGGGCAGCCAGGCCCTGACCTGCCTCTCTCTGGAACGCGGGGCCTGGCAGCCTCGCCAAGCTCAGCTGCGCACAAACTTTCCTGTCGGCAGGAGGTTCAGCTTGACTTTCTGAGAATCAGGGAATCGGGAGTTCCTAAAACAATTTCCCACCCGTAACCCTGCAATAGGATCTAATATTCTCAGGATCCCTTTTCAAGGTGGCTGAAAAGTCTTGTGAAAGTGCAGACATCCTGCCCACCAGGCCGGAGCGGTCTTTTCAGCTGTGATTCGCATCCGGCCCCTTGTCTCAGCTCATCCGCTCCATGCGGGCTGGAAGGCAGGACGCAGCACTGCTGGGTTCGAGAGGAGCAAGACACTAGCCGTCTCTGGGGATGCGAAAGGCGGAGCTCTGGGTGGGACCCATGGGTGTCCCCTGACGGGGCATGAAGCCCAGGGCATGGAAGGAGGGGAGCCCCGCAGAAGGATGGAGGGGTGCAGGGCACCCCACGCCCCCCAGAGAGGCCTGCAGCTGCCTGTAACGACACGCAGTGTGTCCTGCAGATGTGCGGAGTCTGCCCGGGCTGGCAGGGGCTAGGCACGTCCCACGCGCACCCCCAGATGCTCTCCTGTCGGTTGCTGGTCCAGGATTTGATCAAAACAAACAGAAAACTGCACTGCAACAGGGACGATGGCTGCATCCCTGGAGAGCCTCCCCGGCCACCTCGGGCTGGGCCACGAAGACCCCCCAGGCCTGCCCGACCCCACCGCAGGCTCCAGGCGGGATCCCTGAGACTCCACTCGCTGCACAGGCCGCGGCTCCCCCTTCTCTGTGGAGCCTCTGAGATCTACTCACCTAGCAGTGTAGAGTCCTCTCTCCATCCATCGCCCCGGGGACCAGGTCGGGCAGTCCTGGCCGGGGTCTGCGTGGCCCAGCCCGAGGCGGTGAGGGAGGCTCCCCCGACATGCAGCCGTCATCCCTGTTTCAAAACGGTGTTCTGTTTGTTTTGCTTTAATCAATCTTAGTCCAACTACTGACGGGAATGTTGTAGACGTGTTAGAAGCAGAGCCTGACTGAGGCTAAGACGGCTTTTCACTCCCCCCAAAACTCCCCCCAACACTGCGATTCTGAGGTTAAAATTAGGTAGAAAAGGTTCTACTGCTCCATGACGATCTCAGAAGAGGAAGGTCACGCTAATGCAATGTTGGCAGGAGAGTTGGAATGATTTAGATGAGAAAGCTACGTAAATGAAAAATATTTCACCAAGGGCTCAGTGTAAGAAACATGGAAATGGAAGGGCCGGGCGCAGTGGCTCATGCCTATTAATCTCAGCACTTTGGGAGGCTGAGGCGGGCGGATCACGAGGTCAGGGATCAAGTCCATCCCGGCTAACACGGTGAAACCCCGTTTCTACTAAAAATACAAAAACTTAGCCGGGCGTGGTGGCGGGCACCTGTAACCCTGGCTACTGGGGAGGCTGAGGCGGGAGAATGGCTTGAACCCGGGAGGCCGAGCTTGCAGTGAGCTGAGATCGCGCCCCTGCCCTCCAGCCTGGGCGACAGTGCGAGACTCCGTCTCAAAAAAATAAATAAACAAATAAAAAAGAAAGATGGAAATGGGCCGTAACCAGCAGTGTGGGAGCCATGAAGAGCAGAACTGAAAACCACCCACTTCTTATGCATTCCTCACTTTCAGCAGAAGTTTTTGAAATCATCGTTTCTCAACACCCCGGCGGCTCTTCCTCTCCACCGCATCTCCCCGCACAGCCCTTCGCAGAGGCCGAGTTCTCTTCGGTGACACCATCCCAAACCTGGAGCTCGGAGCAGGGCGGTGGCGGCTGTGACCTCTGAAAACACAGCACCCGCCCCGACTCTCCACGGAATGACCCCTGTCCCACCATTGCCATCGCTGGGAAGCTGTTGGTCAGCAGCATGAAGACGTCAGTCTAGCATTCCATTGCCTCGTTCACACCCAAAGTCACCTCGATGTGGGGCACGGGCGTGGAGCTGGGATTATCCACTCCAGCACGACCTCTGCATGGCATCCAAGGACAAAATCCCAAAAGTAGAAAACACCAGATATTAAGCACAAAAGTCAACCATATGCAAGAAGCTGCTAGTAATTTCCACCCACTAGAGCACCAGCGACACGGAAGGCTGCTTTCATTTGCTTTGGTTCTGGCTGGGTTTTGTTCGCTAGGTGGTTGTCCTTATTCATTGACTTCCTCAGCCTCGTGGGCCTCCTGCCCAGGGAAGGGGCCCCAGTGAATTAAGCATCTGTTCACCCCGTACCAACCTTGCATCCACAGTACATTCTCAGCGAGAAACGAACCCAGACTGGAAGCCGCCCTCTCTCTGAGCCGGTCAGGACCTGAAACCCAGCCTCCTGCCTCAGTTTGCTGGGCTGGACGGAGCTCCTGGCATTGTCAGCTTCTGAGGCGACCCCAGCACCTCGGTGTGGACTTTCTGCCTAGTGGCTTGTGTTTTAAAGAGTTTCATTATTATCCACTGGAAGGTTTAAATAGATAACTGTAACTTTTCTTTTACAAATGTAAACATGGGTTTTGAGTATGAAAGAGACTCCATGGAAATGTTGGTTATAGAACTTAAAACACAGGGCCCACGATGATGAAGAAAACACACCCCATGTAGGAACCCGTGGTCAGAGCATCAGAGAACGCGCTGCACCCCCAGGAAACCGTGGTCATAACATGAGGAAACCCACAGCCCCCCACGCCCTTTCTTTCCATTGGCATCAGCACTGGTGTCCAGCGTCTCCGACGAGTCTCACCACACCACAGCCCCACGTCCTTTGGGGACGTCATTTTGTCCCATAATTGTCTACCTGGTTGATATTTTCAAAAGTAGACAATCTTGATTGTGGTCCTATTAACTTGCTACCTGAGTAGGTAACTAGTAAAAACTTATAGTAACTTAAAAACCTGTGTGCATCTTTAGAGTGAAGACATCTTCTATTTATGACGTGTTTGTCATGCGTCTATTTTCATACAGGTATACATACCTTAAAATGTTCTAATTCAAAGAAAAAAACCTACAAACATAGAAGGCATTTAAGATAAACCGAATTCCAAAACGCCTGATGAATACACTGATAGTAATTGAAGGTGAAATTTTCTGCATTAGTGATCATTTATGAAAGATATGAAACTCCCTTCAATACACACACTCCATTTTCAGGTTTTGAAAACTTCAACTTTGTGTTGTATAACTTTGACTTTTGCTTTTCCTTTTTTTGTGATTTCTGCTTTTTTTGTTTAATAAAAAGGTTTAAAATGGTTTTAAATGACCATTCATGGTTCCTCCCCTCGACCAGTCGGTCCTTCCCAAAGCGCAGTTGTGTGTTCCCCCCGTGTGCACTGGCAATCACGCGGTCACACTGTGTGTTCCCCCTGTACGCACTGGCAATCACGCAGCCACACTGTGTGTTCCCCCTGTACGCACTGGCAATCACGCGGTCACACTGTGTGTTCCCCTGTACGCACTGGCAATCACGCGGTCACACTGTGTGTTCCCCCCGTGTGCACTGGCAATCACGCGTTCACACTGTGTGTTCCCCCTGTACGCACTGGCAATCACGTGGTCACACTGTGTCGTGCTCACGTCTCGTACGCACTGGCAATCACGCGGTCACACTGTGTGTTCCCCCCTGTACGCACTGGCAATCACGCGGTCACACTGTGTGTTCCCCCCCGTGTGCACTGGCAATCACGCGGTCACACTGTGTGTTCCCCCTGTACGCACTGGCAATCACGTGGTCACACTGTGTGTTCCCCCCGTATGCATTGGCAATCACGCAGCCACACTGTGTGTTCCCCCTGTACGCACTGGCAATCACGCAGCCACACTGTGTGTTCCCCCTGTACGCACTGGCAATCACGCAGCCACACTGTGTGTTCCCCCTGTATGCACTGGCAATCTACACACTGGCAATCACGCGGCCACACTGTGTGTTCCCCCCGTGTGCATTGGCAATCACGCGGCCACACTGTGTGTTCCCCCTCGTACGCACTGGCAATCACGCAGCCACACTGTGTGTTCCCCCCGTGTGCATTGGCAATCACGCGGCCACACTGTGTGTTCCCCCTGTGCGCACTGGCAATCACGTGGTCACACTGTGTGTTCCCCCGTGTGCACTGGCAATCACGCGGCCACACTGTGTGTTCCCCCGTGTGCATTGGCAATCACGCAGCCACACTGTGTGTTCCCCTGTACGCATTGGCAATCACGCAGCCACACTGTGTGTTCCCCCTGTATGCACTGGCAATCACGCAGCCACACTGTGTGTTCCCCCCGTGTGCACTGGCAATCACGCAGCCACACTGTGTGTTCCCCCCGTGTGCATTGGCAATCACGCGGTCACACTGTGTGTTCCCCCTGTACGCACTGGCAATCACGTGGTCACACTGTGTGTTCCCCCTGTACGCACTGGCAATCACGCGGTCACACTGTGTGTTCCCCCTGTACGCACTGGCAATCACGCAGCCACACTGTGTGTTCCCCCCGTGTGCACTGGCAATCACGCAGCCACACTGTGTGTTCCCCCCGTGTGCATTGGCAATCACGTGGTCACACTGTGTGTTCCCCCTGTACGCACTGGCAATCACGCAGCCACACTGTGTGTTCCCCCTGTATGCACTGGCAATCACGCAGCCCACACTGTGTGTTCCCCCTGTACACACTGGCAATCACGCGGCCACACTGTGTGTTCCCCCCGTGTGCATTGGCAATCACGCGGCCACACTGTGTGTTCCCCCTGTACGCACTGGCAATCACGCAGCCACACTGTGTGTTCCCCCCGTGTGCACTGTCAATCACGCGGCCACACTGTGTGTTCCCCCCGTGTGCACTGGCAATCACGCGGCCACACTGTGTGTTCCCCCTGTACGCACTGGCAATCACGCGGTCACACTGTGTGTTCCCCCCTGTACGCACTGGCAATCACGCAGCCACACTGTGTGTTCCCCCCGTGTGCACTGGCAATCACGCAGCCACACTGTGTGTTCCCCCGTGTGCATTGGCAATCACGCGGCCACACTGTGTGTTCCCCCTGTACGCACTGGCAATCACGCAGCCACACTGTGTGTTCCCCCCGTGTGCACTGTCAATCACGCGGCCACACTGTGTGTTCCCCCCGTGTGCACTGTCAATCACGCGGCCACACTGTGTGTTCCCCCCGTGTGCACTACTGGCAATCACGCAGTCACACTGTGTGTTCCCCCTGTACGCACTGGCAATCACGCGGCCACACTGTGTGTTCCCCCCGTGTGCACTGGCAATCACGCGGCCACACTGTGTGTTCCCCCTGTACGCACTGGCAATCACGCAGCCACACTGTGTGTTCCCCTGTACGCACTGGCAATCACGCGGTCACACTGTGTGTTCCCCCGTGTGCACTGGCAATCACGCAGCCACACTGTGTGTTCCCCGTCGTGCACTGGCAATCACGCAGCCACACTGTGTGTTCCCCCTGTACGCACTGGCAATCACGCGGTCACACTGTGTGTTCCCCCCGTGTGCACTGGCAATCACGCAGCCACACTGTGTGTTCCCCCTGTACGCACTGGCAATCACGCGGTCACACTGTGTGTTCCCCCTGTACGCACTGGCAATCACGCAGCCACACTGTGTGTTCCCCCTGTATGCACTGGCAATCACGCAGCCACACTGTGTGTTCCCCCTGTACGCACTGGCAATCACGCAGCCACACTGTGTGTTCCCCCCGTGTGCACTGGCAATCACGCAGCCACACTGTGTGTTCCCCCTGTACGCACTGGCAATCACGCAGCCACACTGTGTGTTCCCCCTGTACACACTGGCAATCACGCGGTCACACTGTGTGTTCCCCCCGTGTGCACTGGCAATCACGCAGCCACACTGTGTGTTCCCCCTGTACGCACTGGCAATCACGCGGTCACACTGTGTGTTCCCCTGTACGCACTGGCAATCACGCGGTCACACTGTGTGTTCCCCTGTACGCACTGGCAATCACGCGGCCACACTGTGTGTTCCCCTGTACGCACTGGCAATCACGCAGCCACACTGTGTGTTCCCCTGTACGCACTGGCAATCACGCGGTCACACTGTGTGTTCCCCTGTACGCACTGGCAATCACGCAGCCACACTGTGTGTTCCCCCTGTACGCACTGGCAATCACGCAGCCACACTGTGTGTTCCCCCTGTACGCACTGGCAATCACGCGGCCACACTGTGTGTTCCCCCCGTGTGCACTGGCAATCACGCAGCCACACTGTGTGTTCCCCCTGTACGCACTGGCAATCACGCGGTCACACTGTGTGTTCCCCCTGTACGCACTGGCAATCACGCGGTCACACTGTGTGTTCCCCTGTACGCACTGGCAATCACGCGGTCACACTGTGTGTTCCCCTGTACGCACTGGCAATCACGCAGCCACACTGTGTGTTCCCCCGTGTGCACTGGCAATCACGCAGCCACACTGTGTGTTCCCCTGTACGCACTGGCAATCATACGCACTGGCAATCACGCAGTCACACTGTGTGTTCCCCCTGTACGCACTGGCAATCACGCGGCCACACTGTGTGTTCCCCCCGTGTGCACTGGCAATCACGCAGCCACACTGTGTGTTCCCCCCTGTACGCACTGGCAATCACGCGGCCACACTGTGTGTTCCCCCCCGTGTGCATTGGCAATCACGCAGCCACACTGTGTGTTCCCCCTGTACGCACTGGCAATCACGCGGCCACACTGTGTGTTCCCCCCGTGTGCACTGGCAATCACGCAGCCACACTGTGTGTTCCCCCTGTACGCACTGGCAATCACGCGGTCACACTGTGTGTTCCCCCTGTACACACTGGCAATCACGCGGTCACACTGTGTGTTCCCCCCCGTGTGCACTGGCAATCACGCAGCCACACTGTGTGTTCCCCCTGTACGCACTGGCAATCACGCGGTCACACTGTGTGTTCCCCCTGTACGCACTGGCAATCACGCGGTCACACTGTGTGTTCCCCCCGTGTGCATTGGCAATCACGCAGCCACACTGTGTGTTCCCCCTGTACGCACTGGCAATCACGCGGTCACACTGTGTGTTCCCCCCTGTACGCACTGGCAATCACGCGGTCACACTGTGTGTTCCCCCCGTGTGCATTGGCAATCACGCGGTCACACTGTGTGTTCCCCCCGTGTGCACTGGCAATCACGCGGTCACACTGTGTGTTCCCCCGTCGTGCACTGGCAATCACGCAGCCACACTGTGTGTTCCCCTTACGCACTGGCAATCACGCAGCCACACTGTGTGTTCCCCCTGTACGCACTGGCCAATCACGCGGTCACACTGTGTGTTCCCCCTGTACGCACTGGCAATCACGCAGCCACACTGTGTGTTCCCCCTGTACGCACTGGCAATCACGCGGCCACACTGTGTGTTCCCCCTGTACGCACTGGCAATCACGCAGCCACACTGTGTGTTCCCCCTGTACGCACTGGCAATCACGCAGCCACACTGTGTGTTCCCCCTGTACGCACGTGGTCACACTGTGTGTTCCCCCTGTACGCACTGGCAATCACGCAGCCACACTGTGTGTTCCCCCTGTACGCACTGGCAATCACGCGGTCACACTGTGTGTTCCCCCTGTACGCACTGGCAATCACGCAGCCACACTGTGTGTTCCCCCTGTACGCACTGGCAATCACGCGGCCACACTGTGTGTTCCCCCCTGTACGCACTGGCAATCACGCGGTCACACTGTGTGTTCCCCCCGTGTCCCTTACGACTGGCAATCACGCAGCCACACTGTGTGTTCCCCCTGTACGCACTGGCAATCACGCGGTCACACTGTGTGTTCCCCCCCGTGTGCATTGGCAATCACGCGGTCACACTGTGTGTTCCCCCTGTACGCACTGGCAATCACGCGGCCACACTGTGTGTTCCCCCCGTGTGCACTGGCAATCACGCAGCCACACTGTGTGTTCCCCCTGTACGCACTGGCAATCACGCGGTCACACTGTGTGTTCCCCCTGTACGCACTGGCAATCACGCGGTCACACTGTGTGTTCCCCCTGTACGCACTGGTCACAATCACGCGGTCACACTGTGTGTTCCCCCCGTGTGCACTGGCAATCACGCAGCCACACTGTGTGTTCCCCCTGTACGCACTGGCAATCACGCGGTCACACTGTGTGTTCCCCCTGTACGCACTGGCAATCACGTGGTCACACTGTGTGTTCCCCCTGTACGCACTGGCAATCACGCAGCCACACTGTGTGTTCCCCCTGTACGCACTGGCAATCACGCAGCCACACTGTGTGTTCCCCCTGTGCACTGGCAATCACGCAGCCACACTGTGTGTTCCCCCTGTACGCACTGGCAATCACGCGGTCACACTGTGTGTTCCCCCTGTACGCACTGGCAATCACGCGGTCACACTGTGTGTTCCCCCTGTACGCACTGGCAATCACGCGTCACACTGTGTGTTCCCCTCGTCGTGCACTGGCAATCACGCAGCCACACTGTGTCGTTCCCCCTGTACGCACTGGCAATCACGCGGTCACACTGTGTGTTCCCCCTGTACGCACTGGCAATCACGCGGTCACACTGTGTGTTCCCCCTGTACGCACTGGCAATCACGCGGTCACACTGTGTCGTTCCCCCTGTACGCACTGGCAATCACGCGGCCACACTGTGTGTTCCCCCTCGTACGCACTGGCAATCACGCAGCCACACTGTGTGTTCCCCCCTGTACGCACTGGCAATCACGCGGTCACACTGTGTGTTCCCCCTGTACGCACTGGCAATCACGCGGTCACACTGTGTGTTCCCCTGTACGCACTGGCAATCACGCGGTCACACTGTGTGTTCCCCCTGTATGCACTGGCAATCACGCAGCCACACTGTGTGTTCCCCCTGTACGCACTGGCAATCACGCGGTCACACTGTGTGTTCCCCCTGTACGCACTGGCAATCACGCGGTCACACTGTGTGTTCCCCCTCGTACGCACTGGCAATCACGCGGTCACACTGTGTGTTCCCCCTCGTACGCACTGGCAATCACGCAGCCACACTGTGTGTTCCCCCTGTACGCACTGGCAATCACGCGGTCACACTGTGTGTTCCCCCTGTACGCACTGGCAATCACGCAGCCACACTGTGTGTTCCCCCGTGTGCACTGGCAATCACGCAGCCACACTGTGTGTTCCCCTGTACGCACTGGCAATCACGCGGTCACACTGTGTGTTCCCCCTGTACGCACTGGCAATCACGCGGTCACACTGTGTGTTCCCCTGTACGCACTGGCAATCACGCAGCCACACTGTGTGTTCCCCCTGTACGCACTGGCAATCACGCGGTCACACTGTGTGTTCCCCCTGTACGCACTGGCAATCACGTGGTCACACTGTGTGTTCCCCCTGTACGCACTGGCAATCACGCAGCCACACTGTGTCGTTCCCCTGTACGCACTGGCAATCACGCGGTCACACTGTGTGTTCCCCTGTACGCACTGGCAATCACGCGGTCACACTGTGTGTTCCCCCTGTACGCACTGGCAATCACGTGGTCACACTGTGTGTTCCCCCTGTACGCACTGGCAATCACGCAGCCACACTGTGTGTTCCCCCCGTGTGCACTGGCAATCACGCAGCCACACTGTGTGTTCCCCTGTACGCACTGGCAATCACGCGGTCACACTGTGTGTTCCCCTGTACGCACTGGCAATCACGCGGTCACACTGTGTGTTCCCCCGTCGTGCACTGGCAATCACGCAGCCACACTGTGTGTTCCCCCTGTACGCACTGGCAATCACGCGGTCACACTGTGTGTTCCCCTGTACGCACTGGCAATCACGTGGTCACACTGTGTGTTCCCCTGTACGCACTGGCAATCACGCAGCCACACTGTGTGTTCCCCCGTGTGCATTGGCAATCACGCGGCCACACTGTGTGTTCCCCCTGTACGCACTGGCAATCACGTGGTCACACTGTGTGGTTCCCCTCGTACGCGACTGGCAATCACGCAGCCACACCCTGTACGCACTGGCAATCACGCGGTCACACTGTGTGTTCCCCCCGTGTGCACTGGCAATCACGCGGTCACACTGTGTGTTCCCCCTGTACGCACTGGCAATCACGCGGTCACACTGTGTGTTCCCCCTGTACGCACTGGCAATCACGCGGTCACACTGTGTGTTCCCCCTGTACGCACTGGCAATCACGCGGTCACACTGTGTGTTCCCCCTGTACGCACTGTTCCCCCCGTATGCACTGGCAATCACGCAGCCACACTGTGTGTTCCCCCCTGTACGCACTGGCAATCACGCGGTCACACTGTGTGTTCCCCCTGTACGCACTGGCAATCACGTGGTCACACTGTGTGTTCCCCCTGTACGCACTGGCAATCACGCGGTCACACTGTGTGTTCCCCCCGTGTGCACTGGCAATCACGCAGCCACACTGTGTGTTCCCCTCGTGTGCACTGGCAATCACGCAGCCACACTGTGTGTCTGGCAATCACGCGGTCACACTGTGTGTTCCCCCTGTACGCACTGGCAATCACGCAGCCACACTGTGTGTTCCCCCCGTGTGCACTGGCAATCACGCAGCCACACTGTGTGTTCCCCCCGTGTGCATTGGCAATCACGTGGTCACACTGTGTGTTCCCCCTGTACGCACTGGCAATCACGCGGCCACACTGTGTGTTCCCCCTGTACGCACTGGCAATCACGCAGCCACACTGTGTGTTCCCCCCGTGTGCACTGGCAATCACGCGGCCACACTGTGTGTTCCCCCTGTACGCACTGGCAATCACGCAGCCCTGTGTGTTACCCCCTGTACGCTACTGGCAATCACGCGGTCACACTGTGTGTTCCCCCTGTACGCACTGGCAATCACGCGGTCACACTGTGTGTTCCCCCTGTACGCACTGGCAATCACGCGGTCACACTGTGTGTTCCCCCTGTACGCACTGGCAATCACGCAGCCACACTGTGTGTTCCCCCCGTGTGCACTGGCAATCACGCAGCCACACTGTGTGTTCCCCCTGTACGCACTGGCAATCACGCGGTCACACTGTGTGTTCCCCCTGTACGCACTGGCAATCACGCGGCCACACTGTGTGTTCCCCCGTGTGCACTGGCAATCACGCAGCCACACTGTGTGTTCCCCCTGTACGCACTGGCAATCACGCGGTCACACTGTGTGTTCCCCCCGTGTGCACTGGCAATCACGCGGCCACACTGTGTGTTCCCCCTGTATGCACTGGCAATCACGCAGCCACACTGTGTGTTCCCCCGTGTGCACTGGCAATCACGCGGCCACACTGTGTGTTCCCCCTGTACGCACTGGCAATCACGCGGTCACACTGTGTGTTCCCCCCTGTACGCACTGGCAATCACGCGGCCACACTGTGTGTTCCCCCCGTGTGCACTGGCAATCACGCAGCCACACTGTGTGTTCCCCCTGTACGCACTGGCAATCACGCGGCCACACTGTGTGTTCCCCCCGTGTGCATTGGCAATCACGCAGCCACACTGTGTGTTCCCCCTGTACGCACTGGCAATCACGTGGTCACACTGTGTGTTCCCCCTGTACGCACTGGCAATCACGCGGTCACACTGTGTGTTCCCCCTGTACGCACTGGCAATCACGCGGCCACACTGTGTGTTCCCCCCGTGTGCACTGGCAATCACGCAGCCACACTGTGTCGTTCCCCCTGTACGCACTGGCAATCACGCGGTCACACTGTGTGTTCCCCCTGTACGCACTGGCAATCACGTGTGTTCCCCCCGTACGCACTGGCAATCACGCGGTCACACTGTGTGTTCCCCCGTCCGCACTGGCAATCACGCGGTCACACTGTGTGTTCCCCTGTACGCACTGGCAATCACGCAGCCACACTGTGTGTTCCCCCTGTACGCACTGGCAATCACGCAGCCACACTGTGTGTTCCCCCTGTACGCACTGGCAATCACGTAGTCACACTCTGTGTTCCCCCCGTATGCACAGGCAATCACGTGGTCACACTGTGTGTTCCTTCCGTGTGCCGTGCACACTGGTAATTTGAAGGTCACACTATCATGCCCCATTGGCCCCCACGGCCTCTTGCACAAGTATTGCCTGGAGTCCACAGACATCTCAGGCGTCACCGGGAGGCGACTCTCCTGGGCCTGGTGTTGGATCTGCTCTGTTCCCCGGGGTGTTCCCTGGTGCCAACAACAGTGCCTGTCCGGGGTACTTGGGAGAAGCAATCAGGAAAGCGTTTGGAGACTCTCTGATGTGTCTGTGGACCACGGATGATAAACGGCTTAGAGGAGACAGGCCACACCTCTCAGGTTCCGAGGCCTCAGCAGGGGTATGGGTTTTTACGGCATTTTTCACTAATGGCAAGTGCAAACTCAGTGGATTTTGTCTGAGAAACAAGTATGTTTTCAGCTTGAGAAATACATTTATTTGTACTCTCATTCCAGAAAATAACTGGATGAGACATTATAAATATACGATAATGAAAATCATTTGGTTACCTGTAGAAGCTGAACTAATGTAGCAAGAATAGTAATGGTAAAACATAGCAACTCATCCACCTAAAAATAGACACGCAGATTCATTCTATGAAGTAATTGATCTATCTGAATCAACAGAGGCATAGTATATGGGTATTACACACAGGAGCTCTACAGAGATCTGTAACTACCCCTAAAGTAACGGGACCATCTTTCTACATCACACATGAGAATTATATGTCGGCATTATACAGAGATTTCCAAGTACCCCTAAAGTAATGGGACCATCATTTTATATCACATATGAGTATTATATACAGGCATTATAGGGAGATTTATAACTACTCCCAAAGTAATGAGACCATCTTTCTATATCACATAAGAGTTATTATATACAGGCATTATATGGAGATATCTAACTACCTCTAAAGTAATGAGAACATTTTTCTGTATCATATAGGAGTTATTATATATAGGTGTTATACAGAGATATCTAACTACCCCTAAAGTAATGGGACCATCTTTCTATATCACGTAAGAGTTATTATATACAGGCATTATACAGAGATATCTAACCACCTCTAAAGTAACGGGACCATCTTTCTATACCACATTAAATCAGTTCACAGAGACATCAAAGTGACAAACCTTCTATCGATGATTATTTTATGCCCACTTTTGTGTGTTTCTGTTGTCCCTGTAGAATTGTGACTCCCTGGACTCTGAGACTCAGGGGAGGTGCCGGCACCCGAATCTGTCACCTGGGTTGGGGCACAGCAGCCACCTCCTCCTGGTTAATCGAGGCCCCGGAAGAGGCTGCTCCAGGCTTGTCCCTTGGTCAGTTTAAAAACACTAAGTGCCATGTTGTTTGTTGATGTCCAGTTCAAAGCACAGAGCACAAGGACTTCTCAGCAGGTCGCCTTTTGTTAAAGGTTAAAGGTGGCCTTTTGTTAAAGAGGGAGACACAGAGAGAGATTTATCTTTAGGGAATTGGCTTGTGTGACCGTGGAAGCCGGCAGGTCCAAGGTCTGCAGGGTGGACCCTCGGCTGGAGACCCGGGGAAGAGCCAGCACTGCCAGTCTAGTCTGAAGCCGTCGGACGCAGAGTTCCTTCCTGGTGCAGGGTGTTATCTCTGTTCTAGTCAGGCCTTCAACGGATCGGAGGAGACCCACCCACGCTATGCAGGCTCATCTTCTTTCCTCACAGCCCACCCATCCAACGCCTTCCAGAGGCCTCTAGAGTAATGTCCCATCAGACCCGGGCACCGTGGCCCAGCCCAGTGGAGGAATACAGCTAACCACCACACACGCTCAACTCTGAAAATCCTCAGGGATTCCAAATGTTCTTTACTACCAATTTTCTCAAGTGTTTCGGCTGTGTGAAATTTAGCAGAATTGGTCATTGAATCATTGGAAACAAAAAATAAAACCTATTGAGTGACTGTTTGTGAAAATTTACAAAAGCACAGTCAGGCCTCCAGAGCGAGTGCTCCTAACCCGAGCTGGGCCAAAGACACTGTGTGCAGACGTCCCGGAGGGCAGTGCCGAGGACACTGTGAGTGCAGACGTCCCCACGGAGGGCAGTGCCGAGGACATTCTGTGAGTGCAGACGTCCCCACGGAGGGCAGTGCCGAGGACACTGTGAGTGCAGACGTCCCCACGGAGGGCAGTGCCGAGGACACTGTGAGTGCAGACGTCCCCACGGAGGGCAGTGCCGAGGACATTCTGTGAGTGCAGACGTCCCCACGGAGGGCAGTGCCGAGGACACTGTGAGTGCAGACGTCCCCATGGAGGGCAGTGCCGAGGACATTCTGTGAGTGCAGACGTCCCCACGGAGGGCAGTGCCGAGGACACTGTGAGTGCAGACGTCCCCACGGAGGGCAGTGCCGAGGACACTGTGAGTGCAGACGTCCCCACGGAGGGCAGTGCCGAGGACATTCCGTGAGTGCAGACGTCCCCACGGAGGGCAGTGCCGAGGACATTCTGTGAGTGCAGACGTCCCCACGGAGGGCAGTGCCGAGGACACTGTGAGTGCAGACGTCCCCACGGAGGGCAGTGCCGAGGACATTCTGTGAGTGCAGACGTCCCCATTTACGGAGGGCAGTGCCGAGGACACTGTGAGTGCAGACGTCCCCACGGAGGGCAGTGCCGAGGACAGTGTGTGTGCAGACGTCCCCACGGAGGGCAGTGCCGAGGACACTGTGAGTGCAGACGTCCCCATGGACGGGCAGTGCCGAGGACACTGTGAGTGCAGACGTCCCCACGGAGGGCAGTGCCGAGGACAGTGTGTGTGCAGACGTCCCCACGGAGGGCAGTGCCGAGGACACTGTGAGTGCAGACGTCCCCATGGACGGGCAGTGCCGAGGACATTCTGTGAGTGCAGACGTCCCCACAGAGGGCAGTGCCGAGGACAGTGTGTGTGCAGACGTCCCCATTTACAGAGGGCAGTGCCGAGGACACTGTGAGTGCAGACGTCCCCATTTACGGAGGGCAGTGCCGAGGACATTCTGTGAGTGCAGACGTCCCCATGGACGGGCAGTGCCGAGGACAGTGTGTGTGCAGACGTCCCCACGGAGGGCAGTGCCGAGGACACTGTGAGTGCAGACGTCCCCATGGACGGGCAGTGCTGAAGTCCTGATGAGCGAGTCTGAGGGGAACGGTGCCACTGCGGCAGCACCCCCTCGCCCCAGGCCCTCAGATGTGTGAGGGCTGGGAAATCCCCTCTCTCTCTCTGGAAGTGCACAGGGTCCCCTCCCCTAAGGAGTCACCAGGATGCCTCAAAGGGTTCTCTTCCCCTCTCACCCAGCTCCAGCCTTGGGAGTCCTCTCACGCTGGGACCCTCCGTTGCCGGGGCCTGGGACGTGTCTTCCGCCCTCTTGCTGACTGTCTCCCATGCTGTCTGCCACCTCCGCCTTCCCAGGCCCTTCTCAAATGTTAGAACTTCCTGCCTGATCCTTTGATCACTCACTGTGTTTCGCATTCTTTTTTCTCTCAGGAAGAGCTCTGTATGAATCCAGTCTCACATTGCTATAAAGAAATACCCCAGACTGGGTAATTTATAGAGAAAAGAGGTTTAGTTGGCTCACAGTTTTGCAGACTTCACAGGAAGCATGGCAGCTTCTGCTTCTGGGGAGGCCTCGGGAAGCTTCCAATCATGGTGGAAGGCAAAGCAGGAACAGGCGTCTCACAGGGTCAGAGCAGGAGCAAGAGCGAGGTGGGAGCTGCCACACACTTTTAAATGACCAGATCTCATGAGAACGCACTCACTGTCTCGAGGACAGTGCCAAGGGATGGTGCTAGCTCATTCATGAGAATCCACCCTGAGATCCAAGCACCTCCCGCCAGGCCCCACCTCCAACGCTGGGGACTAAGAGTCAACAGGAGATTTTGTGCGGACACGGAGCCAAGCCTTATCAAGCTCCCACACTTAATACTTGGATAATTATTCTCAGCAATCTGTTCTTGTTCCATGAATGCATAGTCCCATCATCTCTTGGAGGGTAGTCATTATATTTTTTGGAAATTATCCGTATTCTCTGATTATTTGTTTCCTCTGGGCTTTTTTGATTTCTTTATTTTGGTTTTTATCTTGACTGCTACCTGTCTGTACTCGTTTAAAAAGGAAGGCTTTGAGTGTTGCTCTACCAAGTAACCCCATACCACCCTCCAACAGAAAACAACCGAAAGTCTGGAAAAAGATGTAAGAAAACATCCTTGAAGATGCGAGAGGGCTGATAGTAAGGAAGGGGCTGCTGAGTCAGAATATGCTGTAGAACAGGGCCCCGGTGGGGAGTGCTCACTCAGGGACAAGCCTCCCCTGGGGCTGTTTCCCAACGGTAGAGCCGCAGAGGCTGAGCATTGGTGAGGGGCTTGGGGCCGAGCCCAGATCCACATGACCCCAGGCTGGTCCGCCCCGTGAACACAGCTCCCCATAAGCCAACTCAGTCTCTGGAACTGGGCCAAGATTACCCCAAAGTTTTAGTAGAATGTGCAGATGCCCTACAGAGCAAATGTTACTTCTTTCTTTCTTCTTATCTCACTTTAGTAAGAAAAATTACCTCTTCGATTTTTCTACTAAAATGGTTGACACTTAATTGATTATAATCAGATACCCAGGAGGAAGGAAGATATCAGCAGAATCTCCTTAGAATAAAAGAAATGAACAGTTTAAGCAGATCCAGTGTAGCTCAGATGGACCAACTATGACCACCGTCATTGGGGCAGCCTGGCCTTGGAGGGTGGCCTGGACACAGAGGTCCCCATGGCATTGGAGGGTGGCCTGGACACAGAGGTCCCCATGGCATTGGAGGGTGGCCTGGACACAGAGGTCCCCAGAGCAGGACAGGAGTTCAGAAGTAAACCCAGGTACATATGGTCAATGGATTTTGAACAAAGGTCCCAAGGAAATTCAGTGGGGAATGAATAATCTTTTTAATAAGTTGCACTGGAACAGTTGAAAACTTGAATTCTGAAAGGAAACTTTGATCATAACCTCACATCATATGTAAAATTAAAATATTAGACAATGAGACATAAACTCATTTTGTTCAAAGATGGCATGATTGTGTTTATAGAAAACCACAAGGAACTTATGGAAAGATTATGAGAATTAATTAATATGTTGAGTAAGTGTGTTAGATACAAGGTAATGAAACAAAAACACAATTTTACATCAGAAACAAACAGAAAATGAAATTGGAAAACTATAAATAGGTAGGAAAAAATCTAAGCAGGATATGTAAGAGCCTTACACAGAAAATTGTGAGATGTTTTTGACAGAAATTAAGTCAATCCTAAACACGCGAGAGCTATACTGTTTTTACATTGAAAGACTCCACTTTAGTCTGTCCACCTCAAGCTGACCAGTAACTCAATGCAACTCCTTTCAAAACTCCAGTAGGTTTTGTTGTGTTTCTGAGAAAATTTCCATCCTTTTCTACAATTTTTGCAGGGAGACCAAGGAGGATGAATTGCACAGCTCGGGAATGAGGCTTACCAAAAAGCTAAACGAATAGGAAAATAGGCCTTGAGAAGATTAAAAAGCGGCCATTTGTATTTTGGGTAAAGAAGAGTTGATGAGAATTTGTTCTTCCCAAGTCTAAAGTAAATGGAGCACCCTTTTTAAAATTCTATTAATGCATTTCACTAAGAAGCATTAACGAGAAGACGATCAGCCGAGGGAAGTGGCCAGGGGATTGTCAGTGCCTCGGTTGGGCTGGTACGACATTTCACAGTTGTGTTTTCTCACACACCTCTTTTCTCAGGAGTGATTCAAAAAGCTGATTTCATCTCTCCACCCTGGAGGTGATAAGATATCACATAGAAATTCACCGTGGAAGGGGAAACAGGAAGAGAATGAGGTTTTTAATGACATGTCAAGCTGTCTGACTTTGCTGCTGAGTGCGTCTTTACTTCTCATGAAATGAATTTGAGGTCCACTAAAAATGGGATGAATATAATCCTCGGAATATTAACATAAGGAGCAGAATATAAATCTCAAAAATGTTTCTGAGGCATAAACAGTTGTTTTATCACAACTGTTTTTGAAGGTAGCTAGACTTATAAGAGATTCTTATATTTAAAGTGCTACATAAGGAAATCCAACTTTAAGCTTAAATTATTTAATTTGGTAGAGTAAAATATACTCCTAATATTGGAGAGAAGGCTAAAATAAAAAATTGTATTTTTTGAAACTCAGGAGACACTGCTGTCTTTAAAGGTTGAATAATTTACATATAATTACACTAGCATGAGCTACCACTTTTACTCCATAATGTAATAGAAATTTTAATGTTTCCATTAAAACAGTCATAAAATACAGTTTTTTAGAAAAAAGGAAACTAAATGTGACCATAAGATAATTTTTCAGGGTCAGCTTTTTTCAGATGTCTTATATTTTATGTTTGTTATAAAAAGGGGCGTCTTTCTCTGAGGCAAATCTATGCAATTTCTGATTCTACATGCTCTGTGTTTAGCATTTTTTGACTTAAAAAAATGACACAATTAGGATAATAATTATGAGCCCAAGCACGTAAATACTTGCCTTTAGAAGACTGATAATTATGAGGTTTTCCACCCAAAATGGATCTAAGGATGATACTTTGGTGTTTATTTGGGTTATATGCCAATTTAGGTACAATGTATAGGTAATCAGCGTGTAGGAAGAACAAGAGCTGGGTCTGGAGTGTGGACTCACCTTTAAAGCACGTTACACATGTGTTCAATATTACATTACACCCTGGTAGAGATGTTAAGTTAATTTATCCTGAGTCTAGAATTTACCACATTATCAACATAGACTATTCTAACACAAGTCTGCATACGGGATGTGCTACTACACGGAGTCAGGGGGCTGGGGGCAGGCTCAGCGTCCCCTCCTGCCACCCTCTGGTAGCACACAAGAAGATCCACCATCTGGGACTCGGCGGGGGGGACCACGGAACAAGGCGGCAGAAGACTGGGGTCTTCACATCCAGCCCGAGGGTCTGTGCCCAGCGGCTACAAGACTAGGATCAGCTCCCAGAGTCAGAGAACGTTGTGGCCACCACACCTGCAGAAGCCTCTTTCATGAGCTTCTCATCCTGTCTGCAGCTGGCGAGCGGGCTCACCTGGACCACACCTGGACCACAGAGCAGGACAGACCCCGTGCAGCTGTGTTCTCACCACGCCGAGATCGCCAGCCTGCCCAGAAAGTCCACAAGGGAATAGGTCAGGGGCCGAGCGCTGACCTGACCCCTGGGAGCCCTGATTCTGGTGTCTCCCAGGGCATGTCCCGCCCAGGTCTCCAGGGGGAAAACAGCAGACACTGAGCAATGTTGAGCAAACCCCAGTGTCATGAACTGGGCTCTGGCTTCCTGAATGCTGCTTCCCATCGACAACCCAGGAAGAAAGCCCTGAGAGCTGAGTGTGCACTGCCCGTCACTCAGGAGGAGGCAGCACAGCCTCAGGAACAGGACTCGGGTGGTGAGTGTGCACCAGCCGTTATTTCTGATGGCTGAGTGTAGATTTATACATGCTATCATTTGTAATATTGTTTGTAATATTCAGGACAGATTGGAGAAAGAGGGTTCCTTTTGCTTTCTTAACACCTTTCTGCCTGTTCGTTTCATATATGATTTAATGATCTGAAAGCATTCTCATTGATTGAAAAAAAAGTACTCATAATATTATTTTGTGCAAGAGTTTCAAGGCAGTTATGGATACAGTCACATGGAGGATACTACATAATTTTTAACGCATTTGTAAAGTTTAAGTTTGGGTGTTGAGCGTGATTCAAGAGCTGCGATTTTTGATGAAAGCTGAGTGCTTGTTAAATAAAACTGAGGAAATTTCCTCTGATTGATGCAAAGTGCCATAAAAGAAAAATGACACAGCATTGAGTCATTGAGTATTAGATAACTTTATTCTCACCAAAAAAGTTTAGAAATAAGCAACTCATAGATGTGAAAGCAGGATTTTTGGACAACAGTCACATGGCCAAGTTTTCAGTGTCAAAGGCCTCTTGCAAACAATTTATAATGCTACTTTCAGTGACTCTTGCAAGGATTGGATTTAGACAAAACTCAGCACTCACTCCTTTCATCCAGGGCCCTGCATTGAGGAGCAGGGAGGCATAGACACGTGGGAATCAGAGTGCAGACGTATTGATCTGGCCGCAATTGATCAAAGTGAAGACGTACTGACCTGGCCGCAGTTGACAACCCCAAATGTGGCGCCATATTCTTTCAAAGAAGATACCATTTGATCGGGGAGGTCTGAGCTCCTTCCTCTGAACGCTGTGTCTTCAGGCCTTGTGTATTCAGAGGAGGGACTCAGACCCAGGATTGGGCAGGGGTTTTGGGGGGTCCTGTGGATGCTGTGAGAGCTGAGCAGCTTCCTCTGCCCTCTGGGAGAGCAGTGGTCTCATAAGACTTCCTTCTGGAGAGGAGCACAGGGTGTCTGGACAGCCACCCACCCCGAGCCCCTGGTCGATAGACTCCAAGAAGAGGAGAATCAATCAATCTATGGAAACTGACCCAGAAACAGAACAGACAATAGAAATAGAAGATACAGACTTTAAAACAGCCATATGGATCGTGTTCCGGATGTTCAGGAAGGAAGAGGGAAGAGAGGACGCATTAAATAGAGCCAGGGAAAATCAGAAAGGCCAAAATCAAAGTTTGAAGATAACAACATCAGTGTCAGAAATAAAAACACAACAAATCTGGTGGGGTGGAGGGTGAGTGAACATTGCAAAAGAAGAAATCGGTTCACTTGAAGACGGCCACAGAGACCCCTCAAACGGAGACAGAGGACCTGTGAGCTGTGGCAAGCTTCACAAAGCCTCATATACTCAAAGTTGATGTCCACAAAGGAGAGTGGATTTGGGGAAAAATAAGAAAATGTGTAGGAAAAAACTGGCCAAAACATCAAAATTTCATAAAAACTATCAACACAGATCCAGGAAGCTCCAGCAACCCCAAGCACAGGAAACATGAAGAAAAGCACGTCAGGGAACATTCTAATGAAATGGCAAAATCTCCTGCTTCGCAGACCCAGCAAAAGGGCACACTGCAGAGAGAAACAGCCAAGAAACCCAGCAAACGGGCAGAGTGGGAGGTCTTAACTAACGAGAGAATACACGGTCAAATTGGAACATTTTTTCAGCAGGTTTATCTTTCCAAAATGAGGGTGCTACGAAGACATTTTCACAAGCAGAAAAGATGACGACATCCATGGCCAGTGTTGGCGGCACGCACTTACGGGGACATCCACCGAATGAAGTCAAGGGCGCCGGGTAAGGAGCTGGCCCTCCAGCAAGGGAAGAGAATATGGGAAATGGCTCCTGCACGCTTCGCAGAAAATACTTCTCATTATTTTCATCTACTTAAAACATACTTGACCTCCTAAAACAAGTTTAGTATCAGCGCATCGTTGGGTTTATAGTACGCATAGAATAAAACGTACGTTGGTAATAGCACTGTGGCTGCGGGCAGACAATGGCAGGGGATCCTTCCCGGGCCTTTCACTGCCGTGAAATGGCACAGCGTTGCTCGGAGGAAGACTGTGGTATGTTAACCATGTGTATCAGAAACCCAAAGCAACCACAAAATTAACACAGCAATGAGTTTAGCTAGTAAGTTACAAAATAAAGTAAAATGTAATGATAAAAATAATTAGCAATTCTAGTGTTAGCTCCAACGCATAAACAGCGTATCCTCTGTCGCTTCCAAACTCACAGGCAGAAGCAGGAAAAAGCTGAGCGGTCAGTGAACAGGCGCAAGTGTACAGTGAGATGGAAGGAATAATACGTTCCAGCCTTCAGGAGCAGGTGAACGGATGCAAACGTATGGTGAGATGGAAGGAATATGTTCCAACCTTCAGGAGCAGGTGAATGGGTGCAAACGTATGGTGAGATAGAAGGAATACGTTGCAGCCTTCAGGAGCATGGTAGGGTGAGTAGAGTTCACAGTAACTTATTGTGTATTTCAGAGAGCTGGAAGAGAAAGTCATGTTCCCAACACAAAGAAATCATGTCTGAAGCGGTGGGCATCCCAGCGACCCTGATTTGAACATCACACATTGCATGCGTGTATGAAAACTTCCCATAAATACGGACAGCGCGCTGGACAGGTGAGCAATACTGCCTGGGCTCTGCAGCTTCTGGCCTGGTGCCTACCTGGCTGTGACAAGCAGGCCAGGACAGGCGTCGCCTCTGACCAGCCCTGCCTGCGACGAAGGCCACCACCCACTCCCCAGGACAACGGAGGTCTCACAGTGTCCACCGCAGCTGTGCCATGGGAACCCTGGGGGTCCCGCAAAAGAATATTGTCAAGAAATACAGTGTGAATTCCTCTGAGAAGCAAATTCTGCTTATGACCAGTGTGTCAATTGTTAGACAAGATTCAAAAAATGCTTGTGAGCAAGTTTTACAAAGCACATTGAGAAGGAGGCTGGTGGGCTGGGCGCAGTGGCTCACACCTGCAATCCCAGCACTGTGGGAGGCCAGGGTGGGTGGATCACTTGAGGTCAGGAGTTCAAGACCAGCCTGGCCAACATGGTGAAACCCCGTCTCTGCTAAAACTAGAAAAATTAGCTGGATATGGTGGAGCATGCCTGTAATCCCAGCCACTCGGGAGGCTGAGGCAGGAGAATCGCTTGAACCCGGGAGGCAGAGGTTGCAGTGAGCCGAGATTACCATAGAGACCCCCAGGCATCAGACGCCACATTAGGAGTGCCCTGGATACCAGTTACTGTGTCCTCCTAGGACGGATGCGATCACCAGCTGCATCCTGGGAACGCCGTGCAGGCTGAGCTTTGACAGAAGCCAAGGTGAGACCCATGCCCTGCACACAGGGACTCCTCTCCAGCACCCACCCTTCCCACACAGCAGAACTTAGGCCCCGCGTGGCCCAGGTAAGCCTGGCTTTGTCCTGCTGCTCTCCTCCAGTAAAGCTGTGGGCCGGGAGGAGGGGATGCTGACCTAGCAACTGCACCTGCTGTGCGTGCCCCGGGAAGCGGTTTCACTGCTGGCTTATCTGTTTAGATTCTGTCCAGCCTCCCTTAGACGAGGCTTTTTGCTCCTCAGGCAGGCAGGGGAGAAGGGAAGGATAGGAAGGTAGTGTCTGTAGGCTGGCTCTGTCCCTATTTTCAACTTTTCCCTGCTTTCTCTTGTTTTTACCCAGAGTCAATCTTGCCCATGTAGAAGCAGGCGGATCAGCAGCAGCTTCGTTCTTTGCATCAGACTTGTCAGTGTCTTTGGTTTTATTTTTTAAAAATACTAGAGAAAGATTGTTTATTCTAAGGCAAACATTTGAAAAGACTGCTTTGTGTAAACTGAGATCAGCTCTATGTATACTTGTATATACCAATGTGCCTGTGTGTATGTGTATGTATTGTGTACATGTGTGTATGTGTGTATACATGTGTGTATACGTGTATGTGTGTATGTGCATGTGCATGTGTGTATATGTGTATGTGTGTATGTGTGTATGCATGTATGTGTGTATATATGTATGTGTGTGTGCGTGTGCATGTGTGTGTATACATGTGTGTATGCATGTATATGTGTATGTGTGTATGAATTTCTCCCCCGACCCCTTTCTAATTTGCTCACAACGTTGCCTTTCCTCCTCTGAGGTTTGGCTGCACCAGGTCTTTGCCCAGCCCTGGGCACGCAGGTGGTTCAGAGTGAGCCTCAGTCCTGGCATCCCAGCTGGTTTTGAGAGCCAGAGTGCCTGCATGGCCTTGGCAGGTTTGCAGAATGAGAAAGGAGGCATGAGTCCAGTTGCGGGAAAATACAAAGCAAGGACCCATGGAAGGTGCGATCTGGAGATGTAGGCCTCAGAGGTGTCAGAGCACGTGGCCGGCAGCTGCAGGTGAAGCTAAAGAAGGCTCTGCCACTCCCGCTCTCAGCCTCACGTCCGAGAGTCTTGGACACAGAGTGTGGGAGCAGCCGACTCTGAAATAAAAGGAACAGGCGGAGGCACTTTGCAAGGTAACTCTCACGGTTATCACTCTGGTTAAAGTTCCAATTCCAACCGTTTCCCATTGTGCAGGGCACCTTCAGCACCTGCAGATGGAATCCAATGATGAGGGCGGGCGGTCAGTCCAGGAGACACTTCCACACTTGCACCACCGCCTCCCCGGGGGGAAATGTTGTCAGGTCGAGCAGATGAGGTGGCGTCAGAGGACCTCAGTGGTGGCAAAGGTCCCTCCTGGACCAGCCTTCCTTCCTTCGGGCTCCTCTGAGCCTCTCCGACACGCCTGGACCTTGACCTTCTGTGTCCACCCTGAGCTTGCTGGGCCTGCCCAGCCTTAGCAAGAATCCTGTGACATCCATTCATCCAGAACACTCCACTCCTGGTGTCTGACCAAATTCCCCATCCTCACTCTTCCTGTCTGATCCCGCTGCCCTGCCCTCAACAAGAAACCTGTGCCTCGACATCTCCTCCTGGTCATTTTCTGTCCCCCAACTGTGCTCATCGGCACAAGTCAGCCGCCTTTGCTCTATTCAGAGTTGAGTGTGACCTTCTCCCCTATCGCAGAGGTACCGAGTGAAGCCTTAGTCACCACCTCAGCAAGAATCAGAATGTGAGGAGAATGGTGGGCCCCTCCCCACCCCATCTCCTTCTGCAACTGCCAGTGGCCAAGAGCCCAGCAGGCAGGGTCGGCTCCAGGTGAAGGAGTGGACCCAGCAGAAGCTGCCAGGAGTTCTGTCCTGAAAGGAGATATTCATTGTTCTCAAGAATCCTTGAGAGACTCAGAAACCAATTGGATAACTTGGGAAATGTCCAGCAGAGTCCCAGCCCCCAGGGGGATGTGTCAGTGCGTGGCGTCGCGGTGCGGTGGCTGTGGTGCCGCGTAAGGGACAGACGCCATAAGCGTGGCCCAGAGCAGGGTCGTGCCGGCTGAGCTGGGCCCCTCCAAAAAGACATGCTGGAGACTGAACCTCCTGGACCTCAGACTGTGACTGTTTGAAGATGGGGTCTTCACAGAGTTCAAATTACAGTGAGTTCATTAGGGTGCACCCTGATCCAGTGCAAATGGGGTCTTCATGGAAAGGGGAAATTTGGGCATAAAGACACGCACAAGGGAAAGACAAGGTGAGGACACGGGGGAAGACGGCCAAGCACAGGCCTCCCTCGCAGCCTTGGAAGGAACAAGCCCTTGGGTGTCTTGGCCTTGGATGTCCAGCCTCAGGAGCTGGGAGATGGGGGTGTCTGTCATCTCAGCCCCCTCGGGAGCTGGGGACGGGGTGTCTGTGGTCTGAGCCACCTTAGGAGCTGGGGACGGGGTGTCTGTGGTCTGAGCCACCTTAGGAGCTGGGGACGGGGGTGTCTGTCATCT
Organism: Homo sapiens; assembly: GCF_000001405.40. Lineage (NCBI taxonomy): Eukaryota > Metazoa > Chordata > Mammalia > Primates > Hominidae > Homo > Homo sapiens. The sequence continues at coordinate 31,806 of NT_187647.1, read as the reverse complement.
GAGCTGCTCCGTCAGTGGTTCATGCAGTGGCTGGCCGTCGAGTACAGGGAGCGCAATCTCGATCTCCGTGATGAGAGGAGGAAGGGCCTCTCATTTGACACTAGGGGACTCAAGGGAATAAGCTGACCTTCTGCTAACCAGGCTTGGGACTAAGCCTTGAGTTGGGAACTGGTCCCAGCTGGGGCAGCAGGGGCGGAGGCTGGGAGAGGCTGAATCCGCCCACGGGTCCTGGGGAGACCCAGAATCCCGGGTGCAAACGTCACTAGCGCCAAACACCCTGCCCTCTTCAAACCCCAGACAGAAGTGTTTTCCATCTCAGGTAAGCCGAGTATAAACATTTCCATCCAGAAAAGTTCAAATACAAATGGACAACACAAATCATTTAAGTAATTGTTACACAGCTACGTGATACTACAGCAATGTGTTTTCAGTATACATAGGATAACTAAAACACTTATTATAATAATCCAAATATATCAAATAATTAACCTTGTAAAATGATATCCAGCATTTCTTAGATAAAGAGCAAAGATGCTTTTAAAAATGTGCATTTTGAAACCATTAGGCAATTCCTAGTACATGTTCAAAAGCCACTTCCACGCACAAAAACACTAAAATATCTAATGCATAATTAAAATATTATTTAAAACAGATAAAAGAAAGTGTAGGTTTTTTTAATGATATGCCAGGCATGGTGGCATGTGCTTGGAGTCCCAGCTACTCAGGAGGCTGAGGTAGGAGGAACCCTAAGGCCAGGAGGTCCAGGCTGCAGTGCGCCGTGACTGACCGTGCCACTACACTCCAGCCTGGGTGACAGAGCAAGATCCTGTCTTTAAAATAAATTACATTACATTAAAAATTAAAAATATGATGCCTTCTACAGAGCTGGCATTTCCATTTCAGCGCAATGTTAAAAATCCCCCACTCAAGAAGTGTCTTGCTGGCCGGGGTCTTCCTTACCCTTTGCATGTGTGAAGGAAGGTCGTGACCCCTGCGCTGCTGGTTACACATCACGGTTGCAAGTGGAAGAGAAATGTCTTTTAATAGAGGTTGCATCTATCCCATTTCCTTTTTTTCTACCCAATGCAAAATAAAAATATTTTAACTTCTCAACATTGGGCACATTCTATAAAATATCTCTCTATAATATTGTATATAACATTTGTATACAAAGTTTAAAAAACCTATTTTGTTATGACACTCATTGGAAGACTCAATGTTTTCATCAAATGTAAAAAGAACTAAGGACATATCTAATTTATAAAAATAAAAATTGCCAAAGAATTTAAAATGCACTTATAAATTAATACGCATTATCACAAAGTTAATATACAGCAAGGGTAGGTTTTGTGAGACCAGCGGACAAGTTATTATATTAATACTTAGAATGGTGTATTCATTTGTTCTCACCCTGCTATAAAGAAATGCCTGAGAGGGGTCATTTATCAAGGAAAGAGGTTTAATTGGCTCACGGTTCTGCAGGCTGTACAGGAAGCCTCGTGCTTCTGCTCGGCCTCTGGGGAGTTCAGGGAACCTTCAGTCCTGGCGAAGGTGAGGGAAGCAGGCTCTTCGGGAGGGAGAGACGGGCTGCGTTAGGAACAAGCGCGTAAGCGTGGCCCAGAGCAGGGTCGTGCCCGCTGAGCTGGGCCCCAACTCAGTTTCAAACGACCAGGTCTCACAATAACTTGCTCACTCAGTGTCACGAGGGCGTCACGGAGGCGACGGTGCGAAGCCATTTGTGGGAACGCCGGCCGTGATCCAATCACCTCCCACCAGGCCCCGCCTTCAACGCTGGAGATTCCACGTCCACGTGGGACGTGGGCAGGGATACGATCCAAACCGTATCAAATGTCAAAGACCTGGTTTAGGTCTGAATTTCAAAACGTCAAACTAAAGCCCAAAGCCACTGGCAGAGGAGCGTTTACTTTCCCTTTTAGGGTTTTACAGCTTGGCGATTTCATACTTCATCTTCCTTCCCCTGATTGATGCTGAATACAGGGGGAACGGAATGTGTCCCCTCAAAACCCACGTGTTGAAGCCCTAACCCCAACGTGATGGGATTAGGAGTGGAGCCTCTGTGGGGTGATTATAGGATGAGAAAGAGGCCGGAGCTGTCTCTCTCCCTGCCATGTGAGGACACACGGAGAAGGGGGCCATCCTCAAGCCACAGAGAGAGACCAAACGTGGCACCTGCCAGCCCTGGCCCTTCCAGCCTCCGGACTCTGAGGGATGAATTCCTGTCAGATAAGCCACAGTCTAGGGGATTTTGTTACAGCATCTGAAGCTAATACAGGGCGACTCTGGTCACTTGAGTGCCAAGGTTGCCTCTGTGGAAAACATTTCAGAGTTTATTTACTAACCTTGCCCAGCAGTGCCAGATTACGTCTTGATGTGTATAAATAGCTGGACAGGGATGACAGATGGACAGAGGTGGGTGGCTAAATGGGTGGGTAGAAGAACAGAGTGACAGATGCATGGATGGATGGATGGATGGATGGGTGGATGGATGGATGGTGGATGGATGGATGGATGGATGGATGGATGGTGGATGGATGGATGGATGGATGGTGGATGGTGGTGGATGGATGGATGGATGGATGGTGGATGGTGGTGGATGGATGGTGGATGGATGGATGGATGGATGGGTGGATGGATGGTGGATGGATCATGGATGGATGGATGGTGGATGGATGGATGGTGGATAGATGGATGGTGGATGGATGGTGGATGGATGGATGGATGGATGGATGGTGGATGGATGGATGGATGGTGGGTGGATGGTGGATGGATGGATGGATGGATGGATGGATGGATGGTGGATGGATGGTGGATGGATGGGGATGGATGGTGGATGGATGCATGGATGGTGGATGGATGGTGGTGGATGGATGCATGGATGGTGGATGGATGCATGGATGGTGGATGGATGGTGGATGGTGGATGGATGGATGGATGCATGGATGGTGGATGGATGCATGGATGGTGGATGGATGCATGGATGGTGGATGATGGATGGATGGGTGGATGATGGATGGATGGGTGGATGGATGGATGATGGATGGATGGATGGATGCATGGATGGATGGATGGATGGATGATGGATGGATGGTGGATGGTGGATGGATGGATAATGGATGGATGGTGGATGGATGGATGGTGGATGGTGGATGGATGGATGGATGGATGCATGGATGCATGGATGGTGGATGGATGGTGGATGGATGCATGGATGATGGATGGATGGATGAATGGATGGTGGGTGGATGGATGGTGGATGGATGGATGGATGGATGGTGGATGGTGGATGATGGATGGATGGATGAATGGATGGTGGATGGATGGATGGATAATGGATGGTGGATGGATGGATGGTGGATGGTGGATGATTGATGGATGGATGGTGGATGGTGGATGATGGATGGATGGATGGATGGATGCATGGATGGATGGATGGATGGATGGATGGATGGATGGTGGATGGATGGATGGATGCATGGATGGATGGATGGATGGATGGATGGATGGATGGTGGATGGATGGATGGTGGATGGTGGATGATGGATGGATGGATGAATGGATGGTGGGTGGATGGATGGATGGATGGATGGATGGGTAGTTTAGAGAGAGGTGAGTGGAGAGAAGGACAGATGAATAGATGGAGAAGGAAGTTTAGACAAATTCAGAGGTGAGAAATGGTGAACTAGGTCACAAGGTATGGCACTTTCTCCACTGCAGCAGAGCTGAGTCGGACATAGGTCTCACCTCCCTCTGCGCCAGCTGGTGTCAGGTTCACCAGGTGGGTGCAGCGGAGCCTGTGGAGAGGAAAGGGTGTGTCCAGGGCTGCTCTTCTGTGAAGGGAACCAGTTTCTCAACAAAGGCCCAGCCTCCGCTGAGCTCTCAGGGTTTCAGGGGACCTGCTCTTTTGTGGCCCTTGGTCCCACGCCCCGGGAGTGTCAGTGTCCTGCCGCCAGCCCCATCTGGTCCTAAATTTAGGGATTCTGATGAGTTAATGCCACATACCTTGGCCACAATTCAGCATTTCTGATAATTAATTAGTTAAATTAATAAAAATGATAGTTTTTTCCTAGACTTAACATGTATGTCCAGTGATTACATTGGCACCATATGAAAATAGCTTAATAAATGATTAACTTAAATAAATAGTAACTCACTTGAAATGCCTGATTTCTTTCTGCAAAAACAGAAATTGCTTTTTCTGAAATCCTTGGCTCCTACATTTAGCAAATCTTTCCAGGACTTCCCTACTCTTTCTTTGGAAATGTGAAAAACGCATAACATGTATTTTATCATCTGCCTCGAGGACCCAGGGAGGAACATTTCAAGAAATTAAAAATAAGAGAAACATGCATAAAACAAAAAACCGCCAACTTGGCTTAAAAAATGACGAAAAGCCACATAAAGCACACTTCTTTACTATTACCCAAATAATGACAATAATAAAAATGATAATAACAACAATAAATGGTGGTTAAATGCGTTACGGACGCACGCCGCGCCAGGCTGCGCAGCTCGGGGTTTACGGTGCAGATTGCCACATTATACACACGACGAACCTGGGATCCATGAAAACAATCCCAAGAGCACCTTAGCACATCATTTTCCAGACTCATTTGGCCAAAGAGACATTCAGAAATATCCATTACCGTGTGCCATAAGCCTGGGGTGGCCAGAGCTGCGGGGGCTGAGAAACAAGAGGCCCCTCCTGCCTCGCCTTAGAGAGAGAGGACACTCACCCTGGCTGTGCTGGGGAGGCCACGTCCCCGACTGACTCGACACCAGCTTCCATGTCCCAGAACCGCCCATGGGCTCTGACCCTCTGACACCACTCCCTCTCCACGCATGGACCCCAGACTCTCATGCACAACCTGAAGACCCCATCCCTGGCACAATCATAGTTCCTCTTGCAAATGCAAACATCAGGTTGTTTGCTTCATTCACGGGAGCTGGTCTCTGCAAATGGGAGCTGTGAAGCGCTGGCCTCCAGTTTCTCGCGGGACTGAGCCACAGAAGACACGGGCTGCTCCTGCGGTCTCCCCGGTGTGTCCCGGGCACCTGCTGCCTCCGTTCTCTGCGGCTTGGTGCTCTGACGCCTGGGGTGGCGCCTGCCCCTCCTCTGGGTGGGTTTCCTTCCCCAACGTTCATGCACAGAATGTTTTCAGCAGTCACAGACCTTCCGAGACGTGGCTGGATGAGAAACACGCCGGCGGACGACAGAGGGTGGCCCCGGACCCACGCTTATGCCCACCCGTCTTCATTCCATAGAGAACACGACCTTTCTGGAGCACCTGGGGCGAACCCACATCTTCCCTGACAAGGCGTAGAACAGGAGCCACCAACCTTCTGGAAAGTTCTCAGCACCAGGAGCTGCAGCCCAGGGCCTGAAAACCTGTTTCCTAATGAAATGACAGAGGAGTTCAGAACTCTCTGATCCACCTGCAAAAGCAGGTCTCTCCTCATTGACAGCAGTGGCCTCAGCACCCAGCGCAGCCTGGCTGTTCCGGGGACCACACCCAGCGGTCAGGAACTGCATCTTCCTGACCCCCTATATTCAGCATCAATCCGGATCTCCAAGTACACCCAACGCCACCGACTGGATCTCCAAGTACACCCAACGCCATCGACTGGATCTCCGAGTACAATGAATGCCATCAACTGGATCTCTGAGTACACCCAACACCACCGACTGGATCTCCGAGTACACCCAACGCCACCGACTGGATCTCCGAGTACACCCAACGCCATCGACCGGATCTCCGAGTACACCCAACACAGCAACTGGATCTCCGAGTACACCCAACGCAGTGACTGGATCTCCGAGTACTCTGAAAGGACTTGATTGGCACTCTGCCTGTGCACATGTCATGATACGTGAAGAATATCTTGAGAACGCGGCTTTTAAAACCGCACCTGACCATGTGGAGATGCTGGTGTTGGGTGGAGGAGGAGCCCTGAGCCAGGGAGCGGCTCCTCAGTAGGCACGTGGGGAACACGCCCTCCCAAGCACCAGAACCACACAAGGCTGCACCGAGACCGGGGTGCGAGACCCTGTGCCAGGCGAGTGCCTGGTTTCCACAAACGCAGAGCAGAGCGTCCCCACGCCTCGGCAGTCTCCTTGCTGAGGGTGCTTCTTCCCTACTGGAGGAGGGAATCCCGCTTCCCCGATGGGACCGCCTTCGCCCAGGGAGCTCCTGGGAGGAGTCCGTCCCGAGTTATCCTGACCCTCTCCTCCTGCCATTGATGTGTGTGGTGATCGGAGCATGAGGCAATGCTGTAGCAGGGCAGGCTGCCTTCCGGGGTAAAGGAAGGTAACCTGGTCTCCCGGGCAGCTGGGCAGCTCGCGTTCCCTTTCCCACATCTTTTAAAGTGAATCAAAGAGAAACAAAGTAATCTTTCAGTCATTTTCTTCCAGACCGCAAGAACAAGAAATAATGTTTGAAAAATGGAAGGGAGCATGTGATCTCTATTCTCACTAAGCAGAACTTCATGGAAATACTGTTCATCGCATAACGATGGATCTTCACTTGCTTATCATTGGATTTTGCCTTGTGTCTCCACTTATTAACTACACAGGCTCAGCAAGTTTTCAGTCTTTATAAAATTGTGCTAACCGTGGGTTGCTGTCATCTTTGGTAACTTTGGAGAAAGGTCTTACTGCGTGTTCTCACCTTTCTGAAGAGCCCTCATGGGGTCCAGCCCATGAGGCGTCCCAACAGGAAAGGGGGTTTGCAGTGAGCCCTGGTTCCACCACAGCTGTTAGAGAGAGTTTGTGCCCCATGCCCAGCTCCCAAAATCCACTTCATCCCCGGAACAGTGCAAGGATAGGAGGTGTGGGGGTGGGTGGGGTCAGAGTCCACCCCCCCGCTCCTGTCCACCCGGATCCCGGTCAGTCATTCTGGGTTCTTTATGGCCTTCAGGGCCATTCCCACTGCTTGACAGCTGCCTTGGGTCTCAGATAAATGTGTCTTTCTTTCCTTTGCCTAACAGCTGCGGCTTTATCTAGCCAGCATATTTATGGAGCATCAATCATGAATGTAAAAGGTGGACAGCTTTGACTGTACATATGGTTGTAGAATATTGGAGAAGAGAGAAAGTCAGCCAATAGGAATTATTGACAGGACTGCACACATAATTTGCAGCTTTCACAAAATATCAATTAAGCCACATGATGGTTTCATCCCTGGGCAGAGACGAAAGCCCGGCAGGTGAGCAGGAGCGAGACAGAGCACCACGGGCCACGTGAGGCCAGGGCACCGCCTGTGAGCAGGAGAGAGACAGAGAACCACGGGGCACGTGAGGCCGGGGCACTGCCCATGAGCAGCAGAGAGACAGAGAACCACGGGGCACGTGAGGCCAGGGCATCGCCCGTGAGCAGGAGAGAGACAGAGAACCACGGGGCACGTGAGGCCGGGGCACTGCCCATGAGCAGGAGCGAGACAGAGCACCACGGGGCACGTGAGGCCAGGGCACCGCCTGTGAGCAGGAGAGAGACAGAGAACCACGGGGCACGTGAGGCCGGGGCACTGCCCATGAGCAGGAGAGAGACAGAGAACCACGGGGCACGTGAGGCCGGGGCACTTCCTGTGAGCAGGAGAGAGACAGAGAACCACGGGGCACGTGAGGCCGGGGCACTGCCCATGAGCAGGAGCGAGACAGAGAACCACGGGGCACGTGAGGCCGGGGCACTTCCTGTGAGCAGGAGAGAGACAGAGAACCACGGGGCACGTGAGGCCGGGGCACCGCCCGTGAGCAGGAGTGAGACAGAGAACCACGAGGCACGTGAGGCCAGGGCATCGCCCGTGAGCAGGAGTGAGACAGAGAACCACGAAGCATATGAGGCCGGGGCACCACCCGTGAAGTCACAGTCACACGTCAGCTGGTGGCACCCAAAGTGTGCAGAGGATGCCACACCCTCAGAGCCTCTTTCTGAGTCGTCCCCTCTGGGAAATCTTTAAAACAAACTGAGCCTGGCACAGCAGGAGAGCTACAATACGTTAAATTTTGGATACAGATCCAGCTACTACAAAAAAAGGAATTTTTTTCTTCAACTTCCTTAGGCAGCATCTAAAGAATCAAAATCAGATTCACCTGTTAGGCTGACAAAAAAAAAAATTGTAAGTGAAAATAGCCAGACACAAAACGTGCATGTGTGTGCACGTGTGCACGTGTGTGTGTGTGTGTCTATACACATACACACGTGTAGACTTCTGATGGAAACTAAGGCTGTGCAGGCAGAAGTGACTGGATAAAGTTTTATTGGAAGCTGAACATGGGGATCCACTTGGGAAGACGCCCACAGAACTGAGCATGTTCTGGGGTCGGCTACTAGGTGGAAGACTTTCTGGAAAAGTTTAGGAGAAGGGAGGGGACTCCTCACAACAGAGGCATCCTTCTCATGGGGGGACAGGTTGGAGGGCACAGCCAGTGCACACAGATCATACCGTGAGGGCTAAAACGTCTCCATGCAAGGCAATCAGAAAGCTTCATGATTCCGAAACAAACCAGCAAAGCTTCGTGATTCAGAAGCAAGTCAGCAGAATGTCATGACACAGAATCAGATCAACATTTCACGGTTCAGAAACAAATCGGCATCCTTTCAGTGTCAGTGGGTGCCGATCAGTGCGTCAACAGCCGGAGAAGCTGATGGTGAGATTCTCCACTCAGGGGCAGGGTGTGCCCACGAGTCACAGACGTCTCCAAAGCCAGTTAATTTGGAAGCAGGTTTATGTTTAAACTGCCAAATGTGACCTAAAGGTTACCAAGACCCCCTCTCTCCTCTCTGTCTCTCTCTCTCTCACACACACACACACACACACGCCATCTTACATACTCTATGATTCCACTTATAAGATTTTGTCACCCCAGGCTTGGGCCTGAGTCCCTCGACCCTTTCTGCGATCTCCCCGATGCCTCGCACTTGGCCATCGGGATTCACTGACTTTACCTAAAGAGAAGCCGCCCCTGAGCAGCCCCCTGACCCGGCATTTTCCAGCTGGCTCGGTGCATCTCAGCGTGAGACCCACACGTGGGGCGCCTGTGAGGACTGCAGAGGGGGACACAGGTCCCATCCACCCCAAGGCTGCCCCAAAGCATCTCATGTCATTGTTATGTTTTATGTATGGGGCACTCTGGTAGAAATTCTGTACTGGAAAACTATCTCCCCACTAAAACCAAACAAACAGGCAGCTTTCGGGGGCCTTCGTAACGCCTCCTACCTCACCTCCTAATGCCTCTCCTCACCAGGTTTCTGGTCTCCCGGAGCAACCTGCAAACCATCAGTCCTCAGCCTCCTCCTCACTGATGCCCCAGGCCCACAGGCTCTGGGGTTAGGACAGTGCCTGCTGCCTAGCGCTGGTCTGGGAGATGCCCTGGCCAGGGGGCAGGAGCCGCACGGGAGGGCTGAGGGCCGGGAAGTGCCGTGGGGCGGGGAGCATGGATGTCAGCAGGATGATTTTTGACACTTTATTTACACAGATGTCTCGATTGTACCATTAGATGAGTTTGTCAAGTTCCCCTGTAAACAACACCCCAAATAAGATATGAAATATTTCCAGCTCCTACAGTTTCCCCAAGCCCACCCACGCCAGGGCCCTCCCGGCTCCTCCCACAGCCACAGCGCTGAGTACCTGTGCAAGAAAGTCCTGCTTCTCCCGGATCAGATGGCACGGGATAGCCTGGCACACAGGCAGCCTGCGGGGCTGGCACGGACGCTTCTGTCCGGTGTTTTTGCTCGAAGTATCTTTTGAGATTCATCCACTAGATTGTGGACGCCAGAAGTTCATGCATTTTCATTGCCCAGTGGCCTTCCATGTGTGGTTAGACACACTTTCTTTAACTGTTTCCTGTTGAGGAATGCTGGACAATTCCAGGTGTGGCCTGTTACTGTGAGTGACCCCGCCCAGGACTGTGGACAATTCCAGGTGTGGGCTGTTACTGTGAGCGACCCCGCCCAGGACTGTGGACAATTCCAGGTGTGGGCTGTTACTATGAGTGACCCCGCCCAGGACTGTGGACAATTCCAGGTGTGGGCTGTTACAGTTAAAGCCCCTTTGAGAGACCCTGTCCAGGACTATTTGTGGAAGACATTTACATTTTGCTGGGCACAGGGCAGGTGTACATATAGTTGTGGGGGACCTGCCATGCTATGGTCAAAGTGCCTGTGCCTGTGCACCTCCTCCCCGCCGGCGACGTGAATATTCCAGATGTTCCAGACCCTCCCGGCACAGGGTGGGGCCAGGATCTTCACATCCAGTTATTTCAACGTGCGTCACACAGCATCCCATTATGATGAATGTGCATTTCCTGATGGCCGAGGATACTGAGTGCTTTCAATTTGCTTATTGGTCATTCTTGTATCACCTTTTGTCTAATGTCTGTCTTGTCTGTTTTTTTAAAAAGGTATATTTATTGATTTGTAAAGGAAGGACCTTTATATTTTGATATATGTCTTTCAGATTTTATATGTATGCAAATATTTTATTACAATTTGTTTCTTTTTGTTTTTTAATGGTGTTTTTATTTAAAGCAGCAGAATTGGTAGCTAACAGAATAGTCCCTATGAGTAACATGAAGGGCAAACGTCACATCACCATGTTAACAGACTCGGGAAGTGTATCTGAAGAAGTCCAACCTCCATTCATGAATAACAATTTTCAGCAGACTTCTCTGGGGGCCTTCCTCCACCTGTGGGAGTCGTACATCCAGAAGCCGAGTGAGCTGGAAGGACCCCAGTGGGGATGGGCTATGGTTGGAGACCCTGGTATGAACCCCAGTTTAGCTTGACATAGACACAGATGGTTCCATGCAGAATATTTATAGACATGTATGTGCATGGATTAGCATTCACACACATTCCCTTGCTCTGTCAGCTGAGAATAAAAATGAGGATCATTATTACTATTACATTCTCATCTAGGCCTTTAAATAGCAGCTCCAGTTGTAAACCTCTCTAAGGGGCTCTGGATTAACTGCGTGAGAGTGATGAGGGGAAAAGGTCTTTCTCATCTCCATCTGACCTACCCATCTACCAACCAAGCTGGACACTGACTGTCCTTCCGTCCTCTCCCCAGATGAGTCATTGCAAACAGAAGCCCCAGAAAGACTCCATGAAGAATGGTAGTGAGTTTGGTGCAAAGGAAAGATTTAGTGAAAATGACACTTAGTTCATTAACTATTCACGGTGGAGCAACCCATGTGCAGAAAACAAGCCTCAGCCCAGCTGGGCTCTCCCTGGGTCTTACTCCTCCACTGAACTCCCTCGGACGCCTGCAATGAGAAGCCCCTCATGCCAAGCCTCACCTGCCCCTTCCCCTCTGCCACCCCCTGCACCACACAGACTACACAGTTACTCTGTAACTCAGCTATCTGTGGACAAAACCAAAAGAATGGCCTGTATTTGCAACTCACTCTTGATTTCTCCCATTTATAACGCCAGGGAGCTATATTAGTCGCTCCTCAATAAAATACCACAGTCTGGGTGGCCCCTTTGTGGGTGTCCACGTGAGCATGTTGGCCACGAGCCTTCAATTGAACTTGACGTCACTGCATTCTCTGCAGAGTGACAAGGAGGTAGGAGCACCGGCCACGAGTGAGTTAGGGTTTCGCACACAGAGATGGCATGAGAACAGGGATGCTGGCACGTCACTTGGGTGTTTGCTGGAAATGCAGAGTCTCAGGCCCACCTCAGGCCTCCCGGGCTGGAATCTGGATTTTAACATGGGCATCTACACCCTGAAGGGTGGGAAGCTGGGCTTACAGGAGAGACTCAGGGAACGTGAGGCCAGGGTGGCCGGGGCCCTCCCAGGCCTCATGGACTTGTCGTGTCCGTGGACATCATCTGCACCTCCGTCCGTGCCCGCCACTTGTCAATCCATGTCCTTTGTCCTAAGAGCGTGGCCAGAGTCGCCAAATAGACCTTTTGTGTGCGGCCGAAGCTCACACCCAGGAACCTATGGGGCAGGCTGACTCCGTCACTTCCACACAAAGGGCAGCGCTGCTGAAGTCCACAGGCCCGAATCCATTGCTGGTGTTACAGGCAGAGTCGTGCTCCTCCCGAATTCATGTGTTGAAGCTCTAACCCCAAGCCCCAAAGAATGTGACTGTTTTGGGACATAGGACCTTTTAAAAAGGGTGATAAAGTTAAAATGAGGTGACCAGTGTGGGCTCTAATCCAACCTGCCTGGTGTCCTATATAAGAGGAGATGAGGACACAGACACCCACAGAGGGACGATGCTGTGAGGACACAGCAAAGAAGCTCCATCTGCAAGCCACGGAGAGTGGCCTCCACAGAGCCCAGCCCTGCCGAGACCCGGATCTCAGTCTTCTTCCCTTCAGAGTGCTGAGAAAATACACTTCTGTTGTTTAAGCCACCCAGGATGCGATATTTCGCTGACCAACACAGCTCCCTGGCATTGCAAAAGGGAGAAATCAAGAGTGGGTTGCAAATGTAGGCCATTCCTTTGGTTTCGTCCATGGATAGCTGAGTTACAGAGAAAGAGGGTTTCTGGACGTCTGAGTACTTGCACTCCAAACTCCAGCTCCACGAGGTTATCAGAGAGCCACCTCCACTGTTGACACTGGTTTCCCCCTCGGCCTGCCTTTCCTTTGTATTCCCTGGGCTCAGCAAGCAATGCCGCTTTCCATCTTTTTTGTCTCTCCAAAGAAATGAGAACTTAATACACACCAGCCTTGAACTGGGGATCACGTGTTGCCAAGAACACTTAAGAGCAGACAACGCACTTTGAGCTGGATGGAAGCACCACACCCATGCATGGCCTACATGCCCCATGCACACAGCAGCTGCAATACAGGGCAACAGCTCCCAAGGTCAACCTGTGCTTCTCCTACTCCAGATGTGGGATCAAGCATTTCCCCAAGGGTCCTGGTCCCAGGGAAGGGTATTCACAAGCAAAGGTCTTCATGCTGGACTCCAGGACACAGACAAGGAACAGAGGCATCCCTGCCGAGGCTGGGAGTGGGGGATGGGGAGGGGATGGGTGGGGGATGGGGGGATGGGGAGGGGATGAGGAAGGGATGGGGGATGGGGGATGGGGTGGGGAGGGGAGGGGTGGGGGATGGGGAGGGGATGGGTGGGGGATGGGGGATGGGTGGCACCTCACTCTGGAGCGAGGACAGAAACCCTTGTGAAGGCCATGGCAGGATGGGGGCACAGGCCCCATGAAGTCCAAAGACAGAGACCAGGGAACTGCCCCTCCCCAACCCTTCCCTCCCCTCTAACTGACAAGCTCTGGGATAACTGGATTACAGCTAAGAGACCTGAGAGACACAGGCTGTCCGAGGAACAGCAAAGGAAAGCCCAAAACCACAAAGGGAGACAAAAGGAGGTCACAGAGGGATCTGAAGTTATACACACACACAGCTACAGCAAACACAGCCCGGCCCTGGGCAGGGTTAATGCAAATCTCCAATTCACAACCTATTTATTCAGAATCGATTGCCCTCAGCCAGGTGCGGTGGCTCACGCCTGTAATCCCAGCACTTTGGGAGGCTAAGGCGGGTGGATCATTTGAGTTCAGGAGCTCAAAACCAGCCTGGCTGGCATGGTGAAACTCCATCCCTACTAAAAATACAAAAATTAGCCAGGCATGGTGGCGAGCATCTGTAACCCCAGCTATTTGGGAGGCTGAGGCAGGAGAATTGCTTGAGCCTGGGAGGCAGAAGTTGCAGTGAGCAGAGATCATGCCATTGTACTCCAGCCTGGGTGACAGCATGAGACTCTGTCTAAAAAAAAAAACAAAACCAGAATCTATTGCCCTCTAGGAGATGTCCAGCCTGCCAAAAAAAAAAAAAAAAAAAGGAAAAAGCAAATTGAACCCCAAATGAGAACTACTACCCACACCAATTAGAATGGCTAAAATGCAAAATTCAAGCACCACCACCCAGTGCTGATGAGGTTGTGGAGCTACAGAATTGCTGTCAGAACTGCAAAATGGCACAGCCACTGTGGAAGACAGTTGGGCAGTTTCTTAGAATGTGGAACAGAATCTTACCACAGGATCTGGCCATCACAGCCCTAGCTATTTACCCAGCTGGCATGAAAACTTGTTCACACAAAAACCTGCATGTAAATATTTACAGTTGTTTTATTCTTAATCTCTAAAAACTGGGAGCAACCAAGATGTCTGCTATGGACGGAGGGTTTGTGACCCCCCAGAATTGGTACATTGAAGCTCTGCCCCATGTGATATGTCTGGAGACAGGACCTTTGGGGGTGATTAGGTCATGAGGGTGGGGCCCTAGTGAATGGGGTTAGTGTCCTTACAAGAAGAGACACCAAAGCTGACTCCCTCTCTCCAATGTGAGCACAAGTCAGAAGGCAGCTGCCTGCACATCAGAAGAGGCCTCAGAATGAATATGCAGCCAGCACCTTGAGCTTCCCAGCCTCTAGAACAGCAAGAAATAAATTTCTGTTGTGTAAGCCTCCCAGTCCATGGTGTTTTGTTCCAAACTGCCCAATACAATGGTCTCCCCCAGGGAAATGGAGAACACGTGCTTCTCAGTGCAGTAGGAGCTGCGGAGAGATAAAAGGAACCAGCTATTGATTCACATAGCAACAATGATGAATCTTAAATGTGCTCTACTAAGTGAAAAACCCATATACATGATTCATGGGCTACATATCACATGATTCCATTCATATGATACTTTGGAAAAATTAAAACTATAGGAATGAACAGACTAGGGCCGGGGTGTCCAATCTTTTGGCTTCCCTGGGCCACACTGGAAGAAGAATTGTGCCTTGGGCCACACATAAAATATACTAACACTAACAATAGCTCTTGAGCAAAAAAAGTCCATGTATAAATCTCATAAGGTGTTAAGAAAGTTTACGAATTTGTGTTGGGCCACATTCAAAGCCATCCTGGGCCGCATGCAGCCCACGGGCTGTGGGTTGGACAAGCTTGGACTAGCAGTTGCCAGGGGCTGGGGAGAGGAGTGCTTGGCCATCGGCGGACACACGAGGAGCTCTTCTTTCTGGCACTGGGGTGGTAACACATGACTGCACATCACAAAGCGCGGACAGTAATGAGGGCGAACTTAAAGAAACAGGAAGCTGACCTGAGTAACTTCAGAATATGATGTTTTGAGTGGAAATTGTAAAGCTAAAGACAAAAGGACATTAATATCATTCCTTTGTTGGTAAATTTCCCACAGGGGTACAAGTTAACAATTCACATACACTGGGATTGAACAGATAAGTCAACGGATGGCAAACCATGGGAGGCAGGCTTCTTGTGTTGGAGGGGAAGGTTATTTGTAAATAAGAGGAAGTTTAGACTGAACCCTGTGGTACTAGATGAGAATCAGAGACATCAGTGTGAACTCATGTTTAGCTTTGCATCGATATAAGGATGGACAGATCCAGAGATAATCTGAAGTATGTGTTCACACATAGGGTATTATCTGCACGCACATTACGCAGCTCTCTTCACTGACAGGGCTGGAGGCAGTGACACCCTCGTCCCACTGAGCACACCCAGCACCCAGGTTTCTGTTTCTAAATATCATTCTCCAATGAGGGGAACCACGGCTGATTCTAGGGTGGATCAGAGAGAAGACAAGATGAGCCTGGAGTATCTCATGATATCAAAAAGTAAGGAAATTTTCAAAAAAACAAAAGGATGGGGGATTGTCCAATGGACACAGATGCCAACGTGAAAGGGCTGCCAATGGCCAAAGATGGAAAAATTTGAACAACAAAAGAAATAATATATTGGATGATTGAATTATAATAAAAAATATACAGTAAATATCATGAGCCCATACTGGTATAAATAATTGAATAAACAAGTAAATGTGGAGAAGAGGCAAATCTTTCTTACTCCAAATAACATCATATGATCATATGTAGCAGCCCCTCCAGGAGATGGAGTTTAACTCTTCCCCAGCCCTCCCCTGAAGGTAGCACAGGCTTCGTGACTCATCCCAAAGAGTGGAGCGGTGGAAGGGAAGACAGTGACTTTACAGCGAAGACACCTGGCGGACGCCACCTGATCCAAGTGTTAGAAGATAAACGTAGGCACGTGAAAGTGTAAAGAGTTATTTGAGGAGACAGGAATCCATGAGCTGGGCAGCACTGAACTACAGCAGTTTGGGCTCTACCAAGGAGCACAAGGAAAACCTTCATCAGTGTTCTTGGAAGGAAGAACAGAAAAAGGATGGATTGAAGTGAAACAGCAGTCACACGGCCTCTGCTTTGAGGTTAGCTGGCAGTTTCTGTTTAAACTTGAATTTTCTTTCCTAGGACAGGACCCCTTACCCTGAATGGGGTTTCTGTGTGCAGGAACTGGGTTTGCTTCTGAGGTACTGAAGCCCTCAGCCTAGTGCCTCCCGATGCGTTATTTTCACACAAGCGATCGGGTTAACGCCACCTGTGAAGTCAAGAGGATGTTCTATGCCCCTGAGAGGCCGTGAGGGGAAGAACATTTCACCTCCTTGGTATTATTTGCGGAAGCCCACCACCTCAGGCTAACCATGAGGAAAAGGACAGATGAACCCAGACTGAGGGGCATCCACAGGGTGCCCAACAGTCTCCTCCACACTGCCAGGGTCATGGCAAAGGAGAGACAGAAATGTCACAGACCAGAGAAGCCGAGGACACAGGAGGATCAGACACGACGTGGCACCCCAGGTGGGGTCACAGCAGAGAGAGGACATGGATGGAAGCTCTGAAATCCGAAGGCTGGAGTTTAGCTCGTGGCGATGCAACGCGGCTTTCTTGGCTGCTGCAGGTGGACCATGGCAGCGAAGACGTGGAAGCTGAGGGAAATTAGCAGCAGCTTGCAGAAACTGCCTGCACAATCTTCATAACCCTTCTGAAAATCTACAACTATTCAAAATTAAAAAGTATTTGAAACTGACAATGACAAACAGGCACTGCCAAGTTTCCGCCGGCCTCACACTCTCTGTGGTTATTCAGTCCATAAATGACGGCAGGAGGGGGATCAGCTACTCTCTGATCTTGAAAGGCAGAGGGCACCTCCCAGCCTCTTGACCTGGAAGAATTCCAAACAAGCTTCAGGGTTCCAGGCTGTTGCGTAAATCGTCTGCCATTCGAGTGATTGCAGTTCAGATGATTCCAAATAATTAGCAATTACATCTCCTTTTGCCCCCCCTCCAATGACTGAAAATGAGCTTTGATCATTAATACCTATTTGGGAAGCTGAGAATTCTCTAAAAGAACTAAAACCTGGCAACTTCCCTATGCAAAAACTAATTAATGATTCAATTAATAAAAATAAAGAGACTCTTCGTCACGTCTTTAAAGAAACATGGCCCAGAGATGGCACTAATGAAGAATACAGCCATGTCCAGACCTGCGGGGCCCAGAGCTCCACCAGAAGTCACATGCCCCTGGCAAGGCCCCTGCCCCAGGAACCTCCCTTCCTGTGTCCTGATGGGACAGTGGATTTACTGGGAATGTTAACAGAACCACCACACTCATGGCAAGTGCAAAATGTGCCCTGGCAGACCTGAGTTTGTTTCCTTCCGGTGAGTTCTGCCTGGACTGTGAAGTCTCCCAGGGTGAGGGGGGCAAGTGACCCCACACTGTGCCTGTGCCCACCTGTCCAGAGCTCTGGACTGTGGAGTCTCCTCGGGGAGACAAGCTGACCCCACACCGCGCCTGTGCCCCCCTGTGCCAGAGCTCTGGACTGTGGAGTCTCCTCGGGGAGACAAGCTGACCCCACATCGCGCCTGTGCCCCCCGTCCCAGAGCTCTGTTCTCTGGTCTCCTGGAGGCTCTGAAGTCCATTGGAAAGATCACCCCAAGCCAACACACCTCCACGCGCAGAGCTCACATCCCAGGGCCCCCGGGGGCTTCGCACTTTCCTGGCATGCCTAGGATTTTTCTGTGGCTTCAGGGGCTGCTCTTATCAGCTTGACCCAGCGCAGCAGGTGGGTGAGTTGGGAAGTCAGCGTCTCACTTTGTGCAGACACAGTGTGGGGGACCGTAAGAAGATTTCTACCTTCAGCTGTGACAGCCGGAGCTCCCGGAGGACGTGGGCACATGGGGAGAGCCAAGTGAAGGGTCTGGCCTGCGATGCCCTTGTAGCCGGGCCGAGGTTGGGCAAGGCGCTCTACCCACAGTCGCTCTGGTTTGGCCTCTACATGGCCCTGGGAGGTTGAAGCCGCTCTCTGTGAATTCCTTCCCGGGGCACTGAGGCTGGAGGGACGTGCCCAAGACCCAAGGTCCAGTGAGAGTTGCTGACAGCTTTTGGTGACCAGGAGCTGTGGGACAAGCCTCTTTGTACTTACACAGGGTGGTTTCTCAACGCAATGCTCACTCATGGAGCCCAGCTCTGCCCCAGTTTGGAGATCCTCATCCTGGTAAGGTGTGGGAATGTGGGTGACGACTGCTCCATCTCATCAGTGCCACCTGCTCCTTCTGCCTATTCTGAGAAGGACCTACACTTCAAACAGGTGTGGGGAAGGCAAGGACCCTACCAGGGCCTGCCCAGTGAATAGCTGTTGCAGGAAATTCGTTTAAGCCTGGGCATATTTATTCATTTATTAATTAATGCTTCCTTGGGGGCATTTTATCTTCCAAAATCTTCCACAGCCCTGGGATTCTTCCAGATTCAGTCAAGTGCATCCTCATGGTGATGTGTGGCCAGCAGGCGTCCCTGCAGACAATTCGAGGCTGAGCCAACAGAGCCAGTGGGAAGGAGCCCTTCGGCCCGTGCTACCCCTCAGCACACACTCCCAGCACCAGCTCTCCAGCTGCTTGGCCAAGACCCAGGGGCCTCTGACCTCCCGGGTCCCTGCCCAGCTCACCCCAGAGCCCTGCCAAGGAGCTCTCCCAGGGCAGCGTCACCTGGAACCGCTGGTCACGGCCAGCCCCACCCACCCAGGTGCGCAACGGAGGCACATGTGCCCTCGTGCCCCAGTGAAGGGCAGGGACTCAGGAAACACCGTCAGCAGAGGCGGCCCCTCGCCAAATTCATGACTCCTTCGTTAAACTAGTTCTTCCCAAAGATGGCAACACACAGCATGGCCTAAAACATCCTCCGAGGTGAGAGTGGGGTCCCCGGAGGTAAGATGTGCCTCTGCCTTTCCAGCAAGGGGGCCTGGGCAGAGGGGGCCATGTCTATCTCAGGTCCCCTGCCGTCTGTGATGGGGCTGGCACCAGGACCTCAGCTGCTGTTCCAGGGACACGGCCCAAACCATGCCTGGAGAAGGGCACAGGCCGCCATAGCTGAGCCCAAGAATTCCAAGCTGCAGTCGCAGTTCCAGGCCACACAGAGCCCAGGGCCAGTGCTCCCAACTCCCCAGGCTCCGAGAAGCAGCGAGGCTTCAGCTCCCATAAAATTAACTTAGTACCTGGAGAGGACACTCCTAAGCCCGGCTCAGCCTTGGCCTCCCGGAAGCATGTGCTTCTCTCTTCCCACGCCTGGAGGGTGGATGCCCCCTGCATGTTCCTCTGAATCGGTAATCAGCCCCATGAGTGCCCGTCTAAACGTTTCCTTCATGGAGACCAAAAAATAACTGTGCACATTTTTCCCAAGACTGAAGTTGTAAATTACAGGCACCCTTCAACCAATTGGCTCCTCATCAAGGAAATTAACAATCTCTCTGATTGCTAACAGATTTCCTTTCCTCCACCATTTGTTTATCCTTTATCCTGTAGTTTTCCATAAATGGTTCCTCTAAAGTAGCAAATACGAGTTACGTGGAAAATGGCAAAACAGGAAAAAGGCAAATCTCCCTGTGCCCCTCCCCCCTGACCCGAGTCAGGTCCAAGTTGGGCTTTGTCCAATGTCCTCACGGCTGTGGATGGTGCTGTGTCCCCCAAAAAGATAGTTGAAGTTCTAACCCTCACACCTGAAAATGTGACCTCATTTGGAAATAGGGTCTTTGCACATGTGATCAAGTTGAAATGAGCTCATCCATTCGGTGTCCTCATAAGGAGAGAGAGATTTGGGCAGAGACACAGGGATAACACCATGGACAGATGGAGGCAAAGGTGGGTGATTCATTCACCAGGCAAGGAACACCAAGGGTTGCCAGGAACACCAGAGGAAGAAAACCAGCATGGAAGGGCTTCTTCCATGGAGCCTCCAGAGGAACCAGCTGCTTGACCTTGGACTCTCGGCCTCCAGATTGTGAGGGTCACCAAGGACTCCTTCCATAAATTCAAAATCGCAAAGCCGCAGTTTCCAGGCCTCCTGGTTGGGATAGCATCCATTCACAGAAAGAGCAGCTCTGTGCACGTCAGTGAAGGCACTGAGGGCTTACCCGGGCAACAGAAGCTTCAGGACTCTGAATCCCTAAATCCCATGTCAGTGAAGGCATTGAAGGCAACAGAAGCTTCGGGACTGTATCCTAAAATCCCTGACCTCAGGGTAGTGCATTTCTGTTCCCAGTATTGAGTTACTGCAGTTTCTGAGAACAACTCCAAGTTGGCAAGGACAGTTCCCTCATGCTAGCTGCATCTGTATTAGTCCATTTTCATAATGCTATGAAGAAATACCTGAGACTGAGTAATTTATAAAGAAAAAGAGGTTTAATGGACTCACAGTTCCACATGGCTGGGGTGGCCTCACAATCATGGCGGAAGGTGAAGGAGGAGCAGAGGCAGGTCTTACATGGTGGCAGGCAAGAGAGCCTGTGCAGGGAAATTCCTGTTTATAAAACCATCAGAATCTCTTGGGACTTATTCACTATCACAAGAACAGCATGGGAAAACCCGCCCCCATGTCTCAATTACCTCCCACTGGGCCCCTCCCAGACACCTGGGGATTATGGGAACTACAATTCAAGATGAGATTTGGGTGGGGACACAGCCAAACCATATCAGCATCTTTCTGGGTGTCACAACTGCCTATGGAGCAGTTTGGTGGAACAAGCAGGCCTTGGTAACACAGGATATTTCAGAGACCATGGATGATGATGTAGCCACCCACCTTCCCAGGCCACAGAAATGGAAAAGCCAGACACGCTGAAAATGAACTCAGTCCTTCCTATCAGCAAGTAATATGATCAAATGGAAGAAAAATGTATTAAATAATGGATTATAATGAATGTGAGCAAATTAAACTACAAAACATAAGGCTGGAAAGACAACCTTCTTTTTAACAGAAATGTACCAAAAGGGGAAATGTTATAACTTTCTATGAGAATTGATCAATAATTTGGCAATCACAAAGTTAATGAAGTGTTTCTATTTCTTTTTGAATGACTACATAATTTGAGAAATTAACAGGTTGAAATGCCCCCTCCCAACTTCCCAGGAGGCAGGTCTGGAACCAGTTCCCCCATGCCCTGTGCCCCTAGTCAATATGGACATTTATTTCTCACAGTTCTGGAGGCTGGAAGTCTGGGGTCAAGGTTGTGGCCAATCCTGTGTCTGGCAAGGCTGCTTCCTGGTTTGCAGACACCATCTTCCTCCCTGTCCTTAGCAGAGAGGAAGGGTGGTGAGTAGAGAGAGAAGAGGCTGGTTCTGGTGTTTCTTCTTACAAGGGCACTAATCCCCTCATGGGGCTCCACCCCATGACCTAATCACGTCCCAAAGGTCCCATCTCCAAACACCATCCCACTGGGGTTTAGGATTTCAACGTAAGGATTTGGGGGGACGCAAACCTTCAGCCCACAGCAGTGCCCTTGGTCCTACCCCTTCCTCTCCTAGACTTCCTCCATAGGAGTTCGGCAGGCACTCCTGGTCTTCCTTTATCTTCTTGCAGAAAGATGGCCCGGCAGGTCTGTGACAACATTCACACCCACAAGGTCAACCAGGAAGAAACTGAACCTGATGCAAATAGAGACAGAGTCGCACCTGTGAGAAACAAACTCACCCGTCCAAACACAAAGACTGGACGCAGAGACCCGGAGAACAGCAAAACGGAGATTTTCAATGACAGTCTTGCAAGACTGGGTGTCTGGCTGGCATGCAGCCACCCCCAGCAGAGTTTCAACAAGCAATTTATCCCCTAGTGCGCAGGTCCCTCCCCCAGTTCCTCATTGACTGAGTAAATGGGGTTACGATCTTCCTGGACATCACCTATTGGTCGTTGGATTAAGATTTCAAGTCTGTTCTTTAGGATCTTTCTGCTGCATTTTATTGCAGCCCACCATGCATTGCAACTGTCTCAGGACTCTTCAAACATTTGACTATGGCCCTGGTGGCTGCACGTAGCTGATAAGAAAGGGTATAATTATTTATGTTGCAAGCTAGCCTAAACTAAATTCTTTGGTGGGGTGAGGAGAGGGTAGTTGAGGGGGCTCCTACTGATAGGCACGTGGCCGCTGGGTGAAAGGGAAAGCAGGAAGGAGGGCAGGGTGGTGACTCAGTACATTTCTGCTTCTTTATTTCTCTATTTCCACATAGCCTGCTTAAACCTATATGAAGGCACTTAGAACTGAAAATGGACCACCACATATAGGTTATTTTCTACACACCTACCTGTCAGCGACCGATCTTGCTCAGACGCATCCTTAACCAGCATGACCAGTCAGAGCTTCAGCCACACAGCAGCCTAGGGAGCTTCTTCATGCCAACATTCCTTACCTCTGTTTATTAATCTACCTACTTACCTGTAGAAGTTCATCCGTCTTAAGGACTTAGGAAAAATGTCTTGAGATTTTGGTCATGCTCATCCTTATGTTTTGAGGAAAGGGGTGCTCAGAATGAGTTGATGTGGCTTCGTCTGACACAAGCTGTCATAAACCCCATGCCCCGTCATCAACCCCACACCCCGTCATCAACCCCACACCCTGTCATTGACCCCACGCTCTGTCATAAACCCCACGCCTCATCATCAACGCCACACTCCGTCATTAATCCCACACCCCATCATAAACCCCATGCCCCATCATCAGCCCCACACCCCATCATCAGCCCCACACCCCATCATCAGCCCCAAGCTCCGTCATAAACCCCACGCCCCTTCATCAACCCCACACCCCATCATCAACCCCACACCCCATCATCGACCCCACACATGCCCCGTCATCAACCCCACACCCCGTCATCAACTCCACACCCCATCATCAACCCCATACTCCGTCATCAACCCCACACCACGTCATCAACCCCACACCCCGTCATCAACCCCAGGCCCCGTCATCAACCCCATGCCCCATCATCAACCCCACACCCCATCATCAACCCTACGCCCCATCATCAACCCCATACCCCGTCATCAACCACACACCCCGTCATCAACCCCAAACCCCATCAACAGCCCCACGCCCCGTCATCAACCCCATGCCCCGTCATCATCCCCACACCCCATCATCAACCCCACGCCCCGTCATCAACCCCACACTCGGTCACCCGTCATCATCCCCACACTCCATCATCAACCCCACGCCCCGTCATCAACCCCACACTCCGTCACCTGTCATCATCACCACACTCCATCATCATCCCCACACTTCATTACCCATCATCATCCCCACACTCCATCACCCGTCATCAATCCCACACTCCATACCCATCATCATCCCCACACTCCATCACCCATCACATCCCCACACTGTATCACCCGTCATCAACCCCACACTCCATATCCATCATCATCCCCACACTCCATACCCATCATCATCCCCACACTCCATCATCAACCCCACGCCCCGTCATCAACCCCAGACTCCGTCACCTGTCATCATCACCACACTCCATCATCATCCCCGCACTTCATCACCCAACATCATCCCCACACTCCATCACCCATCATCAACCCCACACTCCATCACCCATCATCAACCCCACACTCCATCATCATCCCCACACTCCATCACCCATCATCATCCCCACACTCCATCATCCGTCATCAATCCCACATTCCATCATCATCCCCACACTCCATCACCCATCACATCCCCACACTCCTCTATCACCCGTCATCAACCCCACACTCCATACCCATCATCATCCCCACACTCCATACCCATCATCATCCCCACACTCCATCATCAACCCCACGCCCCGTCGTCAACCCCACACTCCATCACCCGTCATCATCCCCACACTCCATCATCATCCCCACACTCCATCACCCATCATCATCCCCACACTCCATCACCATCCCCACACTCCATCACCATCCCCACACTCCATCACCCATCATCATCCCCACACTCCATCACCCGTCATCATCCCCACACTCCATCATCATCCCCACACTCCATCACCCATCATCATCCCCACACTCCATCACCATCCCCACACTCCATCACCATCCCCACACTCCATCACCCATCATCATCCCCACACTCCATCACCCGTCATCATCCCCACACTCCATCACCCATCATCATCCCCACACTCCATCACCCATCATCATCCCCACACTCCATCACCCGTCATCATCCCCACACTCCATCACCCATCATCATCCCCACACTCCATCACCCGTCGTCAACCCCACACTCCGTCACCTGTCACCAACCCCACACTCCATCACCCATCATCAACCCCACACACGCCCCGTCATCAACACAGCAGCACAGCGTTTCCTCCAGGAGAAACACCAAGATCTCACGTCCCATCCACAGGCTGAGGCTGCTGCTCCTGCAGGAACCTGGTGCAGTGTAGCAATTCCACATCCTGAAATTGCTCATCAAAACTCCTATTAAAGTGTCAAACAGTGAATAGCTAAAATACCACTTTGCTTGAACAGTGAAGAGGTTGGAAGGAAAACGTTAACTGTATCAGAGAATATGGACTCCTAACATACAGGGAGTCAGGTTCATTTTGAAGTCACTCTTCTTCCAACAGATTCACTAAGGCTCTTTGTCAACACAAATTGAAAACCGTTAAAAAAAAAAGTAATTATGATGCTTCCTGCCCTCCATGAAAGGACCACATACAGACACCACGCTCATATCTGAGGCCCTGGGGTAGCCTTTAATGGCCCAGCAGAATGGCCAGAACCGTTAGAGGAAACATTTAATAAAGTCTGGAGTCAGAGCCCTGCGGGTCTAGCTGGATTCCTGGAGGTGCGGCCCAGAAGCCAGCGGGAGGGAATTGGAGGCCGGAGGCTCAAACTGTCCCCACTTCCACCAAGGGCCCCTCCTCCAACAGCTTCCAGGCTGCCAAAGCCCCTGCATCACCTCCAGGGTCCCCTGGGTCCAGCCTCATGCTTCCCATAATGAGTTTTTAAACCACAACGCTGCATCAGGTGACATCTCTTCTGCAGGCTGTGCGCGTCTCCAGGGGGAAGGGGGCTGTGTCTTTGGGACAGTTTGTGCTCTCAATCACTTGACTGCTGACAGGCACCTCAGCTGAATGGTGTGATTTATGCAAAGATTGTGCTGAATTATTTAAAGCATTCTCTATTTAAAGAACAGAGAATATTTAATTAGCATTCTGCTGTGCTTAATTGAAGACTCACAAATCAATTAAAACTGCTTACCTTTTGGCAGTTCAGTAACTTCACAGAAACCTCCCAGGAAATGCATCCTATTCACAGCTGGGTTCATCCTATACCCAGCGACCTGTGGCCAGTGTGGCGCTGTGATTAGAGGCGGCTCAGCGCCTTCAGAGGAGCGGCCTGGCTGTGCGCACATTAGAGAAAGGCTTCCATCGTCGTTGGTCCTCTTTCTCACAGGGACTCTGGGGTCTTGGTGCCGGGAGATGCAACCGCCTCTGGCAGCCCGGCTTCATTTTAGGGACAGTGACTATGGAGAAACCCAGGTCTGACCCATTTTCTCCAGAGGGGAGGGAGCCACAGGGAAAGGCCCCTTGTTGCTCTGTTGGCCCTGAGTGCCTCCCAGGAAAGGTCAGAGCACAGACTCAGCCCTGGGAGGGCCGAGAGATCCCGCTGGACCCTGCCCTCCTCGACACTCTGGACAAGATGCAGAGAGTGGGGTCCTGGCAGCAAGATCCCGTGGGAGTGGGGCCTTGGAGCTCAGGGCCAGACCGAGGGGGTGCTCATTGCTGGCTCTGGCCTACAGACACGTTGACATTGGCACCACACGGGCCAACTGAAACCCTAAGAGAAAACCCAGCGTCCCCTGGCCAGAGCCACCAGAGGACAGAGCTCCCAATGAGCCCAGCTGCTAGAAAAGAAGGTGGAGTCCCAGGCAGAAGAGTTCTTCAGGCTGAATGGAAATGATTCCAGAGGGAAATGCAGATATGAAGAAGGAGATAAAGAGCTCCAGAAATGGCAAATAGCAGGGTGAGCCTACGCGACTTCTCTAACGGAAGAAATTACCTTTAAAACACACGTGCAGGCTTAGAGCAAAAGAAACCGTGCCATAAGGTGTGAGTAAGTGAAGTGCCTGTGACACCCACAGATCAGAGAAGCAGAGGCCTCCGGGATGGCAAGGCAAGGTTGCCGCATTTCATATGAAGTGCACAATCATCATAAAAGAATGCATTAAATATACATATGTATGCATTCAAATTACACTAACATCACATATATCCATTAGACTTTATCAAAATTAAAATCTTCTGTTCATCCACATAAAACGATGTCACTTACTGCAAAAAATATTCTCAAATATTTATCCAAGTGCTGAGATCCAGAATAAGTAACCCCTAAAATTTCATAATAAAACAACTTGGTGAAACAACGGTCAAAGGATTTGAACACTTCGCCAAATGATGGCAAATAAACACAAGAAAAAGTGCTCGACAGACTCGAGCACCAGGAAGATGCGTCGTAAACACCAACAAAAACCACCACACACACCCACAGTAGCCAAAATCTATAAAACTGGTGGCACCAAACGTGAGGGAGGATGTGGCCCACCCAGCACTGTTGCTGTGCATTCTTGGTGAGAACACCTAAGACGTCCCCTCAATGGGATTAGAAAACCACAAGGCAGGCAGGTCAGCTGCTGCACTGCACACCACAGCGGCTGGTGAACTCTGCACACAGCGGTGGGCCGTCAACTGAAACCACAACAGGCAGCGAGCAGCTCTCAAAATGAAGGCATTCCGTGGAGAACAGCAGTGGATTATCAACCAGGATGTGTGAGCCATGACAGACCACAGGCATTCCCTGGGAGGCTGGGGCAAGAGGAAGCTTTTAAAGGCAAAAGAAGCTTGAGGAAGCGGTTCTGAAACAAAACTTACCAGCCTGAGAGGCTCATTGCAGGGGCTGGCGATGACTCATTGGAAACACTGACAGCTGCTGGGAGACGTCCTCATAGAAGCAACTTCTGAGCAACGTTAAGCCTGGCATTCCAGTCAAAACCTGGTAATATAACCAATATTTTCCATTGTATGCTGCTGTGAAGAGAACAGGCTCTTATTGAACTTACACAAATGACTGTATTGCCAAAAACATAATCATACTCACAAATAGTTCACAAATTTTGGAGAGATAAGGTAGGGAAAGAAGCCTATGTTTCAATTTTTGTTCACAAAGTTATACTTTACCAAATTGGTGTAAATTATAGATAGCTTAAGAAAACTATTTTCCTTAAACCTGGAAAACAAAACATTAAAATAGAGAACCAAAAATATTTTAAATTAAAACTGTAAAAACCCATCATTCCTTTTCGTCAATTCATTCAGTCCCATGTAATTAATTCTCATTCTGCTTGATCTAGGTTAGCAGATTTATGAACCCATCAGTTTCTTCAACAGAGTCCCAAAAATATCTACTTTCTCCAACGGTATGATCTTAAAGGTATCAGCAATCAGAGTTCAAGAGGACTGCCAAAGTCATTTCATTAGAAGCAATTTGGACTGTAGTTGATTGCAAAAGCTTTTAGAGAAACATCAAAACAATAATTTGGATTTGGATCTTTACATGGATGACAAAAACATAGACGGGTCATGGTTAAAAGTCTGATGAGAGTTCATTATAATGAGAAATTGACAAGGAACTTTGGTTATTTCCATAGCATAGAACATTTTAACACAATAATTAGAACTACTACTGATAACATTATACCAAGATATATCAGATATTTAAGAATTTTATACAAATTTTGGAATACACTAATACTGTATCCATACAAATATAACTTAAAGAATGGTTAAGGCCGGGCGCAGTGGCTCACTCCTGTAATCCCAGCACTTTGGGAGGCCGAGGCAAGCCGATCATGGGGTCAGGAGATCGAGACCATCCTGGCTAACAAGGTGAAACCCCGTCTCTACTAAAAATACAAAAAAATTAGCTGGGTGTGGTGGTGGGCACCTGTAGTCCCAGCTACTCGAGAGGCTGAGGCAGGAGAATGGCGTGAACCCGGGAGGTGGAGCTTGCCCTGAGCCAAGATCGCGCCACTGCACTCCAGCCTGGGTGACAGAGCCAGACTCCGTCTCAGAAAAAAAAAAAAAAAAAAAAAAAGGTTAAACATCATTTCTTGTTTACAATGCTTCCCACATATTTAATAATTTAGCATGTCAAATAAACTTAATTAATATATCTCTTTTACAAGGTAAGAATAAAAAGATTTAATTTAGAATTTGATCTTGGGAAAGCTTGTCAAAAATGTCAAAGGTTTAAAACACTTAATTAAAACAGGATAATAGGTCACTGTGAAATAATAGTCATCCATTTAACTATAGTGATAATTAAAATACTTTAAAAGCAAATAAAGTTACACAGACAAAAAAAAAAAAAACCCTACCTCTTTAAAGGAAGAATTTTTCCAAGCAATCAAAAACCTAATAAAGACAGCGCAAAGTACACGACATTATCTTGATAAATTTTTCTAGGCCAGTTACTGTGGAGGCCTCATTACGGAGGGGGAGTGGGGCTGGCGGGACTGAAGGAAGCAAAAAGAGAAGGCACATAAGCCTTAAGTCTGCCTTTCTCATGGTCCAGAACACATAACCCTCCTGCACAAATAACTCAGTCTTCCAGCTATCACCAGATCCTTGACTGATGGGAAAATTACAAGTTAGCTCACGGCAACCTTGGCGTTATCAGCACTGTCAAAGCCCTCTTCAGCTCACAGCACAGAGACTGTCTTATAAAACCCTCACCAAGCCTTCGCCTCCTTGCAGTCAGCTCCTCTCTGCTAACTTGCCCATTGCACTCTCGCAATGTATTTTCATGCTTTCTTCAATAAATCTGCTTTTCTTTATCTGCAACTGTCTTGGTAAATTCTTCTCACCACACCACCAGCCCCAGAGGGTCACCACTCACCTGCGACAGTTACCAAAAAGGCAAGGAACACCCTGATTATTTTTTAATCAGGGGTAGATCAATACTACAAGAAAATCTTGTCGTATTAACAGAGAGGACCAAATTCTAGTTTCATGTCGGCAAACTTTAGATCTTTTTTCTTCTTCTTTTTTTTTTTTTTGAGACAGAGTCTCACTCTGTTGCCCAGGCTTGAGTGCAGTGGCGCAATCTCAGCTCACTGCAACCTCCGCCTCCCAGGTTCAAGCGATTCTCCTGCCTCAGCCTCCCTAGTAGCTGGGACTACAGGCATGCGCCACTACACCCAGCTAATTTTTGTATGTTTAGTAGAGAAGGAGTTTCACCATGTTGGCCAGGCTGGTCTTGAACTCCTGACCTCAAGTGATCTGCCCTCTTCAGCCTCCCAAAGTGCTGGGATTACAGGCATGAGCCACCACGCCCAGCCTAGATCTTAATGTTCTATTTTAGAAAGACTTATAAATTATTTCCTTCTATTTTTAGTCAACTTGATCACATACAAAATGTATTTCATAAAATTCATCTTCCATAAACCTTTTGCAATTTTCTCAAACCTTCTAGAATTTGTTCAAACCTTCAGTTTCGTTCTATACTTCCTCTTTTTTATACTGGAACAACCAATCATTCTAACTTAGGATAAAAATTTACTCTTTTTTCCCTTATAATTTTGGCCACACAAGATTTTCTCATATAAAAAAAAGTTTTATTCTCTTTTTCTTTTCAACTTTCCCTACCAAAGATATAACTTTCTTTGCTTATTTTTTGTCCCATTTACTGGTTCCTTTCTGCCTTGTTTCTATTTCCTTTCAAAATTTGCATTTTCAAGCAACCTTTAAATAACCTCCAAATTAGACAAAATTATTCTTCTTCTAAAAAAAACCCTCATGTCTTTTGTAATTTTTTTACCAAAAATACCAAAAATTGTATCATTATTTTTCATACTTTGTATATAGAGTTACACACATTAATTAGAATTTTTAAATCTTAGTGCCCTTAATTTTTAGTGGAACCTAGGAAGTAAGCAATTTTGAACTGTTATATGATAACATTTTATGAATACATATTTTATAATTTTTCAGAAACGTGCTTCCTCATAGAACAATTTCTCAATGTAGAACAAGACACAATGTTTTCTAATAGACCCAAACAAATTTTATCTTTCCACAGAACTTTCGAAGCCAGGAATAAGCTTACACTTATGTTCAGCGATTAATGTTTTAGTATTTTAACTTGTCTGTGTTACTCCTGAGAAACTTCCTGAGATATTAAGCATCCATCATCTTGAGGTGTTTTCCTATTAACCATTTTTACAGCATGTGACTGTCAGGCGGTCATCTCAAAATCAAGAAACCGAAGCGTTAAACGCACGGCGTTTTGTTTCATTGCTGCGCTTCCTGCGTGAGGAGTAACGGGCGTGCCGCCTCACTTCTGCGGGCACACTTGTTTTTAGGTCAGACTCATGCTTTACAATTAAACATTTAGCAGAGATGAAAGTTGCGTGTCTGCATCATCTTTAACGCTGAGGACTCTGAAGACACCTGCTTTTATCAAACCGGCAAATCTAAACTCACCTTTATTCACCAAAGTTTACCCCAGGTCAAGTGAACTTTAAAAACATTTGGGTTAGTTCCTATTTTTTTTTTTTACAGTTGTAGGTATGCTCATTTATTTCTAAGTCAATTTAAACAATGCCTCTTACTAAGTAGGAAAGACCTTAAAGATCTTTTATTTGCTCCATTTGTAAACAGTCAAGAATCACGCCAATCAAAAAATGTGCACAGCACACAGTCAGCAGTGCTGGGAAAGGATGGCTCGGCTGGCTGAGAAGTTCCCAGGGGGAGAAGCAGAGTCTGGCAGAGAAAACACAGAGCCACCACGAGTTATAGCCTGAGCATCAGCTTCCAGTTAGCCTGACTTCTCATCAGGGAGCTCTAAAGAAAGTCCCTTTTCAAATATCTTATTATCAGCTTTTAACCAGGACAACAGTAAACATTCCCGGTGGTATTGAAGTCTTTCTTTCCTCCCTTCTAGTTCCATTTTAGCTTAGGACAGAAGATCAAACAAACAAAAAGTTCCTATAATGCTCCAAATATTAACCAACTTCCAAACCAAAAGTAAACCTACTTCCGCTGTGATTCAAAACTAGTAAGCCCTGTATGGCTTAACCATGGATGCAAGAGGTCCCCAGAAAGGATGCAAAGGATGTAGCCCCCTTCAGGATCCAAAATTTCTCTTGAAGATAGGCTAAGGAAGTAAAGATGCTCACTGGTAACAAGGTAACCATGGTGAGGCGGTTAAGGTAAGTTCCTGAGAGCAGATGTGGTCGAACAGAGACACTTCATGTTTCGGTCCTGGCCGGTGACCGCCATCAGAAGCATGCCTAGCAACTCGGATCTCCCAGTGGGCAGAGACCGGAGACAGCATCCTCACTGGTTATGACCAAGTTCTCAAGACAGAAAACAGGCCTTAGGGCAAACCCCACAAAAGGCAGAGACAAAGAAAACAGCGGCTATTTCTGGGAAGCTGTGGCCAAAAAGCAACGGGCACCCAGCACCAAATTCACAAGAGTCACCATTTAAAGAACCACTTCTTACAATGTTCTCCTTTCGATCCAAATTTAAAAAGGGACAAGAAAACCTTTTACCTTCTCAACCAGGCATTCCAGGTAGTGGCGTGAGAGAGCTGACTTTGGGAAGAATTC